>NC_000003.12:167947998-168099513 GCF_000001405.40 Homo sapiens
AGACCCCTATCACCATACACAAAATCAGCTAAAAAAAATCAAGATCAAAATGCAAGACCTGAATCTGTTAAAGTGCTTGAGGAAAACATAGGAGAAATCCTCCCAGACATATGTCTAGGCAAACATTTTATGGTGAAGACCTCAAAAGCACAGGCAACAAAAGCAAAAATAGACAAATGAGATTATTTCTAACTAAAAAGCTTGTACACAGTAAAGTAAACAATCAACAGAGTGAAGAGATGACCTGAAGAATGGGAGAAAAATATTTGCAAAACATTCATTGCATAAGGGATTAATATCCAGGCTATGTACTGGAACTCAATAGCACAAAACCAAATGATCCTTTTTAAAATTGGGCAAAAGATCTAAGTAGACATTTTTCAAATGAAGACTTACAAATAGCCAACAGATTCATAAAAAAATGCCTAAAATCTCTAATCATCAGGGAAATGCAAATGGAAACCATAATGAAATATTATATCACCCCAGTTAGAATGGCTATTAGCAAGAAGACAAAAGACAAATGTTGTTGAGGATGTAAAGAAAAGGGAACTCATACACTGTAAGTGGGAATGTAAATTAGTACAGCCATTAATGAAAACAGTGTTGAGTTTCCTCTAAAAGCTAAAACTAGAACTGTATAATCCAGAAATCCCGCAACTGGGTACATATCCAAAGGAAAAGAAAGAAGTATGCTGAAGGGATATTTGCACTCTCTTGTTTATTGCAGCACTATTCACAATAGCTAAGATATGGAATCAACCTATGTGTCCATCCACAGATGAATCAAGAAATTGTAATAGACATATGGAATACTATACAGCCTTAAAAATGAATGAGATCCCATCATTTGCTGAACCCTGGAAGAGCGTGGAGGACATTATATTAAGTAAAATAAGTCAGGCACAGGAAGACAAATACTGTATGGTCTCACTCACATGTGAAAACTAAAAAAGGGTTGCTCTTATAGAAGTAGAAAGTAGAATAGTGGCTACTAGAGTCTAGGAAGGATAGGAAGAAGAGAGGATAGGAAGAGTTTGGATAATGAATACAAAATTATAGGTAGATAGGAGGAATAAGTTCTAGTATTCTATAGCAATGTAGGGTGACTATAATAAACAATAATTCATTGTATTTTTTCAAATAGAAGAGAGAATTTTGAATGTTTCCTACACTAAGAAATGATAAATGTTTGAGGTGGTAGATACTCTAATTACCCTGATTCAACTATTATTTATTTTATACAAATATCAAAATATCACGGTATGCTTCATAAATCTAAATGATTATTGTGAGTCAATTAAAAATATGTATATTTTTTAATTGTTAAGAAGAACTGTCACATATATAAAAATCTCATAACTTACATAGAAATAACAGTATTTTAAAATGGGCAAACAATTTGAATATTTAATAAAAAAGTAAAATATTGAATTCAAAAAATATTGAATATTTAAAATAGACAAAAAGTACATACAACTCAAATGTCCAACAACAGATAAAAGGATATGCAAAATGTAGTATATCTATACAATGGAAAATCATGTCCCCATTAAAAGGAATTAAGTATGGATAGGTGCTACAACATGGATGAACCTGAAAACATTATGATAAGTGATTGAAGCCAGGCACAAAGAACCACATATTGTATAAATCTATCTATATGAAATGGCCACAATCAGCAAATCTACAGACATGGAGAGTAGACTGTAGTTAGCTAGAGCTAAGTGGAGGAAGGAGGAGAATAACCAATAATGGGTGTAACGTTTCTTTAGGGGGTGATGGAAGTAATCTAAACTTAGATTAAAGTGATGGTTGCACTACAAATGTACTAAAAATCATTGAATTATGAACTTTTAACAGGTGAACTTTATGATAATGTAAATCATATCACAAATCTATTAAAAATAATATGCACATATAGAGAAAATGGTAAGTTAAATGTAACACAATGTTAATAACTGAGGAATCTTGTAATAGGTATATGGGACTTTTAAGTTTTGTAGCTTTTATGGAAGTGAAGTTTATTCCAAAATAAAAAGTAAAAATAAGCTTCATGGTGATGATTTTTAAACTAAATACATGTATCGTGGTGATAACATTAAAGAAACAAAACAAATATGAGTTTAGAATGAGGCAAAAGATGTTATGTTCTATTGAGGACCACCCCAGAATTCCAAGGAACATCATTTAATACTAATATAATGGCCTGACATTCTCTACTTAATCTGTAGCTTTAAATTCAATACGTGCGGTCCATGTGGCAAAACAGGCAAAGCTCCAGTGTCAGCCATCGGTTCAAATGTCAGTAAATTTTGGATGTGTTGCCTAGGAAAGTTATTTATGCCATCAGAGTGTAGCAGGCAGAATTATTACATCACCTGCAGTGAACCACTCCCTGTATAATGTTCTGCTCCTTGCGTGTGGATGTGAACTGTGAATGTTATAGAATAACCACTCCCATGGTTTAATATTGCATAATTGACTCTAAGAAAGGATGAACCTGACTTACCACATGAGCCTTTTAAGTCTGGGTCTAGAGGTCCGAGACAAACAAATCAGAGATTTCTTTGTCAAGAGACATTTCTGCTGTCTTCTTTAAAGATGGAAGGGCCACATGGCAAGGGCATGTGGGCAACTTCTGGGAGCAGAGTGACCCCCAGCTGATAGCCAGCAAGGAACTGGGGACTTCGGTTCCACAGTCTCCAGGAACTAGATTCTGCCAACAACCTGAAAGAGCTTGGAAGTAGATTCTTCCCCAGAGGCTCCAGATGAGAACGCAGCCCAGCTGACATCTTGATTTTTGCATTGTGAGATCCTAAGAAGAGAACCAAGCCATGTGGCCCCTGGACTTCTGCCCTACAGAACTATGAGCTATTAAATGGCTGTTATTTTAAGCTGTTAAATATGTAGTGATTTGTTATGAATAAATAGAAAACTGATACACAGAGTATCAGTTTCTTCACATGAAATGAAAAGAACAGCACTATCTACCTCATAAGATAGTGTATCCTTATCAAATAAACAGCCATATAGTACATGTTTAATTTAGGTTAGCTCTCATTACCATTGTTATTACTATTGTTATTGAGATGAGGTAAAGCAAAATCTCAAAAAGAAATCAGAATTGGAAATCCACAGTCAACAATTTTTTCATTAATATGCCAACCAAGATATTTTGGCATACCCAGGACATTAATAGTATTCCTAAAAGCTTTGGCTTTTATTCAATATCTGATTCATCCCACAGGTAGCATTTCTTAGTGAAAGATAATGTTCTCAGTCTTTTAAAGTATTCATCACAAGGCTACCTGTCAAGTTTTGATGATTGGTGGAAAATGATGTAGACAGCAGGGAACACTCTTATAAATGTCCCCTGAATATGGCATTTAAAGTTTTATATATTAACTGTAAAACTGACGTACTCCTAAAAATGAAAAGAGCCAAGGTGATACTTATAAAACAGACAAACCAAACCACCCAGAAAAAAAGTTACACTTGTAAAATGGACTAAATAATTTTGTGTCATTCTAATCCCAGCTGTGGGCCAACACTCAGCATAGGTGATGCCCATATTCTGAAAAAGACAGATTGTAAATGTGCACTTGTGTTTATGTGAAGCAAAATAGCACTTACTCCCAGGAGGTGTTTATCTTTAGCAATGAAGCAGAGAAATTGTTAACCCTTATAATCTTAAGCAAAGACAGCCTTACCTCAGACATCATAATTTCTATTGGTTTCATAATATCACCAAAATTGCCATGAAGTAAATCCTCTTTATTACCAAGTAAGGACTTCATCCACTCCTTGGTCCTCACTGTCTATCAAATTTAAAACAAATTTAAAAGATACTAGTATTTTTTAATCTCTGGAATTGACAGAAATGTATCATCCAATTGTCAGGGCAATAGAGAATGGCATACCTTCTAAAGTATGCCCAAAGATCTGCAGTAAAGCTATTAAAAATTGCTAGAGAAATGAAATAGAAACATACCT
The DNA here is from genome assembly GCF_000001405.40 of Homo sapiens. Classification (NCBI taxonomy): domain Eukaryota; kingdom Metazoa; phylum Chordata; class Mammalia; order Primates; family Hominidae; genus Homo; species Homo sapiens. Next base: position 167,951,995 of record NC_000003.12, read on the forward strand.
TTAAACAAGGGGAAACTGTCATTAAGCTGTATGACTGTTTTTGAGGAGAGTCATAATTTTGAAAAAATTACTAACCAAGAGGCATCAGATACCTGCCTATGATAAATAATTTTCAATAACTGGCATTTCTGCTAAGAAGATTAATTTTAAAATTTATTTAAAGTCTCATTCAGCTCCCCTCATCTTAGACATAAGTCTATTCTAACCTATTGAAGTCATTTCATATGGCATTTTATATATTTTTAAAATCGTGATTTTTTAAAAAATTATTTTAAGTCTTATGGTCACACATAATTCATAAATTTGTGTGTATCTCCTCTACTTCATTCCTTCTAATGAGTTGAAAATCACTATTACCAATCACACATACACAGTTCTACCATTTTCTATGCTTCTGAATAGCTGTTAAAAGACAATTCTAAATTATAAATTAGTCTGACTTAGTAAAGAGCTCAAAAGCAAAGTTTAACATGCTGCTATTTCTTGTCACACTGACTTTTAAAGGCATCTGACCTTATAGATTGTCTGTAAAATGGGAGAAGTGTTAAATATTCTTTATGTGATATTATACATAAACCACATTAAAATGCCTTTCAATAAATAAAATGTAGCATTTTAGATTCAGATAATTCTAATTAGATTGGCATGAAAGTCAAAAATATAAAGCAGACATTGCTACCTTATCGTCAGCCCTTGCCTTTAACAAGCTGATGAACACAAATTAAAACCCAAGTAAATCATGCTTTGTTCTGAGACTGTGAATGAATTTCCCCAGTATTTAAATATATTCAGTTATATATTATTATCATATGTTTATATATAATATATTAATTTATCTATATTTATTAGAATATATTTAATATCATTTACTATATTTTTATCATATTTAGATTTCTATGACTAATAGAAATCTAAATATAAAACCAATCTCCAATAGGTTGTCAGATGACATTTCCCCATCTCTGTGAAAAGTTGAACAGTACTAATTAGGTCTAATCATATCTTTAGAAGGAGAAAAGATTAATAGAATTTACTTTTTTTATATTTTTATAAGTGGTTATATATGTTTAAAAAAAAAATGGTGGAGACAGCGTTTCTTCAAAGCCCAGGGCAATTGGCAAAGCTTATTCTTATGAATGCAGAGTCCTCGCTTCCACTCATTGAAATGCTAAATCCATGAGTATGCGGTAGCCTCTAAGAAAAAAAACCAGCCCATGCTGAGGTGCATTGGATTGTTATATCTGATATTCGAAACAACTTCAAAGAGGTTTTTAGCCTAAACTAAGTTTAAAAAAAAATTTCCATAGGTTTTTTGGGGAACAGGTGGTATTTGGTTACATGAGTAAGTTCTTTAGTGGTGATCTGTGAGATTTTGTGCATCCATCACATAAGCAGTATATCTTGAACCCAATTTGTAGTCTTTTATCCCTCATCACCTTCCCATCCTTTCCCCCTGAGTCCCCAAAGTCTACCGTGTCATTCTTATGCCTTTGCATCCTCAGCTTAGCTTTCATTTATGAGTGAGAACATAGGATGTTTGATTTTCCATTCCTGAGTTACTTCACTTAGAATAATAGTCTCCAGTCCTACCCAGGTTACTGCAGATGCTATTAATTCATTCCTTTTTATGGCTGGGTAGTATTCCATCGTATATCTATACCAGAGTTTCTTTATCCGTTCTTTGGTTGATGGGCAGTTGGGTTGGTTCCACATTTTTGCAATTGTGAATTGAGCTGCTATAAACATGAGTGTGTAAATATCTTTTTCATATAAAGACTTCTTTTCCTCTGGCTAGATACCCATTACGGGGATTGCTGGATCAAATGGTACTCCTACTTTTAGCTCTTTAGAGGAATCTTCACACTGCTTTCCACAGTGTTATACTAGTTTACATTCCCACCAACAGTGTAGAAGTGTTCCCTGTTCACTACATCCGTGCCAACATCTATTAGTTTTTTATTTTTTGATAATGGCCATTCTGGCAGCAATAAGGTGGTAGCACATTGTGGTTTTGATTTGCATTTCCTGATCATTATTGATATTGAGCATTTTTTGATATGTTTGTTGGCCATTTGTATATCTTCTTTTGAGAATTATCTATTCGTGTCATTAGCCCACTGTTTGATGGGATTGCTTGTTTTTATTCTTGCTAATTTGCTTGAGTTTGTTGTAGATTCTGGATATTAGTCCTTTGTCAGATTTATAGATTGTGAAGATTTTCTCCCACTCTATGGGTTGTCTGTTTACTCTGCTGACTGTTGCTTTTGCTGTGCAGAAGCTCTTTAGGTTAATTGAGTCCCAGCTATTTATCTTTGTCTTTATTGTGTCTTTATTTTTGGGTTCTTGGCCATGAAATCCTTGCCTAAGCCAATGTCTAGAAGGGTTTTTCTGATGTTATCTTCTAGAATATTTATAGTTTCAGGTGTTAGATTTAAGTCCTTGATCCATTTTGAGTTGATTTTTGTATAAGATGAGAGATGAGTATCTAGTTTCATTCTCCTGCATGTGGCTTACCAATTATCCCAGCACCATTTATTGAACAGGGTGTCCTTTCCCCACTTTATTTTTTATTTTATTTTATTTTTTTTTTGAGACAGAGTCTCACTCTGTCGCCCAGGCTGGAGTGCAATGGCACGATCTCGTCTCACTGCAACCTCTGCCTCCTGAGTTTAAGCAATTCTCCTGCCTCAGCCTCCTGCGTAGCTGGGATTACAGGCATGCACCACCACACCTGGCTAATTTTTTGTATTTTTAGTAGAGATGAGGTTTCACCATGTTGGCCAGGCTGGTCTCAAACTCAGACAATCCACCCACCTCTGCCTCCCAAAGTGTTAGGATCACAGGTGTGAGCCACTAGACCCGGCCCTTTCCCCACTTTATGTTTTTGTTTGCTTTGTTGAAGATCAGTTGGCTGTAAGTATTTGGCTTTATTTCTGGGTTCTCTATTCTTTTCCATTGGTCTATGTGACTATTTTTATACCAGTACCATGCTATTTTGGTGACTATGGCCTTATAGTATAGTTTAAAATCAGGTAATATGATGCCTCCAGATTTGTTCTTTTTGCTTAGTCTTGCTTTGGCTATGAGGGCTCTTTTTTGGTTTCATATGAATTTTAGGATTGTTTTTCCTAGTTCTGTAAAGAAGGATGGTGGTATTTTGACAGGAATTGCACTGAATTTGAAGATTGCTTTTGGCAGTATGGTCATTTTCATAATATTGATTCTAACTATCTATGAGCATGGGATGTGTTTCCATTTGTTTGTGTCATCTATGATTTCTTTCAGCAGTGTTTTTGTAGTTTTCCTTGTAGAGGTCTTTCACCTCCATGGTTAGGTATATTCATACATATATATGTGTGTGTGTGTGTGTGTGTGTGTATATGCACATATATATACGTATATATGTGTATATATATAATACACACATATATACACACACATACAAATATATATGACACATATATACACATATATATGTGCATATATATACACATATATATGTGCATATATATACACATATATATGTGTGCATATATATACACATATATATGTGTGCATATATATACACATATATATGTGTGCATATATATACATACATTATATATATATATATCAGCCATTGTAAAGAGAGTTGAGTTCTTGATTTGATTTTTGGCTTGGTTGCTGTTGGTGTATAGGAGAGCTACTGTGTGTACATTAATTTTGTATCTGGAAACTGCTGAATTCTTTTATCAGTTCTAGGAGCTTTTTGGAGAAGTCTTTAGGGTTTTCTAGTTATACTATCTTATCATCAGCAAACAGCAACAATTTGGCCATATAGCAAAAAAGGATTGATAAAAACAATCTTTTTTATCAATTTGAATGCCCTTTCTTTCTTTCTCTTGTCTGATTGCTCTGGCTAGGACTTCCAGTACTATGTTAAAGGGAAGTGGTGAGAGTGGCATCCTTCTCTTGTTCCAGTTCTCAGAGGGAATGCTTTAAACTTTTCCCCATTCAGTATTTTGTTGGCTGTGGGTTTGTCATAGATGGCTTTTATTAGATTGAGGTATGTCCCTTGTATGTGGATTTGGCTGAGAGAAAACAGTGACAGCATTTACTGATTAGAATTGTTACCAATTTTTAAAAAACTTATCGTGTTTATTTAACCACAAGCCAGTCTTACTTAAATCAGGACTCCCCAACAAAAATATCCTGTCAGTCATTTATGATCTGGATTCTGGTGTATGAGATCAGTTAAATTATGGTACACATAAAAAAATCACGAGACATTTCTTTTTTGTAATAGATAAAGCAATGGCCAATTATTACACATCAGTAACTTTTTTGAGATAAGCTATCAAGTCTACTCTTTCTGTCTTTTTCTAAATGCCAGAGAAGATCATTTTTGTTCCAGAGATGTACTTCTTTGGATTCTCCAAATACTACATCAGTGTCTCCTCTCCCCAGCTGATGTCTTTGTTTTTGCTGGCATCTGTATAAGAGAACGCAGCAGCCTGACCTGTCTTCTGCCCAGAAATCATGGAGATATGGCCCAGTCTTGTGCTTGCCCCTCTTTTCCATGGTGTGACACTGGGGACACTTCTAAACAAAAATCTTCTTGCCTTCCTCAGCATCACTCATATTTAATTCTATCTTTTCATGCTCGTACTGCAAAGGTTCCTGCTCAGAAGCCAAACATCTTTCTCCCTCTTGTATTTTGAATCCTAACAAAATCTAACATCCTTGAAACATTACTAATTTTTGGAGGGAAGTTTATTCATTATCTTTACGAAACGCTTTAGCTTATCATCAAAAAGAATGCCCACTTACAAGATTATTCTATCATATGTAATTTATATCTTAATTATTTATATGAACATCATATTCAAAGCACATTGCTAGTTGAGCAGAATGACACATCAATAAATGAAATCCAAACCAAATCCTGATATCTGAATGCTGATAAAGGGCACATCTCCATATATGAAAACAGAGTGGAGTGGAAGAAAGATTTTCCACATTAAAAGACTCAAAGTGACTTAACTATTTAAAACATTTGGTCAAGGCTTGTTCTCAAGCATTGGGGTTTTCACAAAGATGTTCTTGTCTGTGGATAGTTGTTAGTTAAACTTTCTGTTGGGAGGAAGTAGTGAAGCCTAAGACTTCCTATTCTGCCATCTTGCTCAAGTTTAATCTTCTTGGTATAACATCTTCACAGAATAATTGACAATATTTACGAATAGATATTTACATTTTTATTTTAAAAACATTAAAAATATATTTATATATACTCATGTAAATATATATTCTTATATATTTATATATATATTTCATATATATAATGTCCATGTGGACACCTGCATGGACCACAGAACTGGATGAAAGTTGCATCAGAAAGTTTCACTTTGATGATACCACTCCTCCCTCTCCCCCAGATAGGCACAAGGCCACATGGGGAGGATTCCCGTAAGCCTATGTATCCTCCAAGAGGAAAAGAGAACTGGAGATGCACATCCAGCTTCCCCAGCATTCTGAGACACTTCCCAGGAAACCCACGCTGGTCCACATTGTATTTAAAAATCATAACATCACTTTGTACCCCATAAATACATACAATTATAATTCATCAATTTAGAATAAAAATTACACTGAGTTATATTCTTATCACAGAATATAAGTAGGCCATTTAGTTTTATTCTTTATCATTTTATTTTTTCTAATTTTCTATGAAGAGCATTTATTTTCTTAAAAGGAATCATCATTAAAAAGAAAATGAGCTTTTATTTTCTTGATCATTCTAAAATTTAATAGTCTAAATTTGAAAATTACTGATATCATTTAGACTACAGTGCTATTTTTTTCATTCATTTATTTCAGTACCTAATTTATAAAGATTGTTATTTCAATGTCAATCATTAATTTACTACCAAGTCGAAACCTTACAACATGCTTACTGGGGCAGAGAAATTAGAAAGAAAGGCTTAAGTAGTTCTCCAAAGTCAGTTTTGCCTTATAATTTTCACAGAGTAGTGTGACAAGAGTTTTTAAAATAATAAATAATTTTGATTTATTAATCATGATAATTTATTAATAAGTCAATATATCTGCCTCTCAGTTGGCTCTGTTAGCTAAAACCTGGGGGTTTGGGGAACATAGTAAACTTTTAAGAATACACAAAATAGATTTTAGTTTCTAAATTTGGAACATTTAGGAGCAGCTAATAGATGAAAGAAGGAGTTAGGAATTTCTTATTCAGTTTTAAACTTCACCTTATTGCTCAATAAGTGTGACTGACTTTGATAATGTGTTGTCTCTCTATAAACATTATATTATTGACCCAGAGTCATGATACTAAGCTGCTTATTCAGACTCGTTGATAAATGGCTGTGACTCATTCACACACATTTGCATCCCATCTAATTGAGATTAGGGTAAGTTTTATGTCAGCACAAAAATATTTTTGTTGTGAGGGGAAAACAAACCAGTGGCTGTAATAGCAACTGGACCCTTCTTTACTGCCATGGTCCTCCAACTGAACTAATTGATCCAGGGACAACATTCAGTGTTTCCTTCTAAACAGTTCAGTTCAGGACAGTTCCTTCTAACAAATATTTATAACCACTGAACTTCAGATCTACATAATAACAACTTGTAAATAACCAAATAGAAAATCTGTGAGGAATAGAAAAAACATCCCACCTTAATCAACATCAAAGGATACTTTTCAATGCCATGTGAGCAGTGTGAAAAGGTGAGAATGACCCCTGGACCCAACAAAGCTCATGTATAGCTGCATCCCTGCAGCCAGTACCTACAACTCGCAGCTGTTGACACCATGCCCAAGAAAAAGGCTGAAGGATGAAACAAGGTTAAGAACAGACCACAGAAAAGATCCACAAGATTGTCTGCTAGACCTCCTTCTCCAAAGCTAGAGCCCAAGCCAGAAAAGGCCCCTACAAAGAAGGGAGAATGTTTATATAAAGAGAAAAAGAGAAAAACTTATGTCGGCAAGGATGGAAATAACTTTGCAATAAACAAAGATGTCAAAACAGACCAAGCACAGAAAGTTAAAGGTGTTCTGAGATGACAAGTGAAGTGTGTGCATTTTTTGATAACTCTGGACTTCTGGTGACTGTACAATTTGAAGTACTATTTTTTATCAAGTTTTATAAAAATGTAGAATTTAAGCTATGCTGTTAGCTCACAGAACACTTTATTGTTTTTTGGAAAGGGTCATATGTCACTAATAGAATGTCACTGAAGCTGGATTGATGTGGGGAAAACACCTTTCCCTTCTAGTTTTGAGACTTCCTCTTAGCTCCCAGAAGAGATTCTCTGGCATTGACACACATATCCAACTTAGCACAAATGCTCGTGGTGTAGAAAAACAAATTCATTTTAATGTTTTTTCTCCCTTTCCACCTTCGAAGCATAGGCTTAACTCCCTTAAATCCAGTCACCTTTTGGTACCTGACCCTCAATAATTGGTTACCAGTATGTCAAGCAATCTGGACTTGCCCACAAAAGAGCAGCAAGCAATCTGCTGCCCGCAAAAGAGCAGCAATTCCATTTCTAGACTGTAGGTCTTCAGAGAAATTCTGCCATTTTCATTTCACTTCCGGAAAGTGAGGGTCAGCTTGGGAAAAGTTGTTAAACAACATGCTAAATGGGAGATGTCAACCCTCACTCTAAACTTTTCCTGTTTAGAGCATCATATAAAGACTTCATTGCATTTTATAGTAGCTTTCTGATTTTGGTAGCCCATTGAAGAAGGGAGTTTGAAAGTTGTTGCATACTGTTAATGATTGTCTGCCCATGTTCTACCTGAAATACCATGATTGTTTATGAAAAATAACTTTAATAAAGTTGGATACAGTTTGGCTTGGAGTAAATAAATAAATGCTCTGCGCGCACGCGCGCATGTAAATCCTGCCCTCAGGGAACTTGAATTTTGCCTAGTAGGCAAGAAGATTAAGAGAAAGATGTAAGCCAGGAAATACAGCAATTTGAGTAGGTATTATGTCTAGAGTTAAATCTTATGATGCTTCACCTCAGTGTTATAAAAAATTATAATGAACCAGTACCTTTGCTGGATGAGCAAACACAATGAGATAATGAGAGAGCTGTCAAATCTCAGTTGGATTTCCCAGATGAATTAAATTCCTCTGCATGGTTGATCCTGATGCTAATCCCAACACCTAGGTGATCCTTGCACTCTGTTTTTTTAACTTTCTCCTCTAATTAACATACTTAGTTCTACTCAGATTTCTTCATTCTTTTTTTTCATCTTTTCCCTAGCCATTAAAAAGTTAACTTTCCAACCTGTGAATGCATCTCAACCTCAAGTATTTGCATGGATGAGCTTCAAAAGGCCTATATGTTTCTTTAAAAAGGTTTTTATGGGAGAAATTTTTTTGAATTTAAGATATTGCCCTAATCTTAACAAGAACAGGGCACTAATCAAATCCCTTGTTGGTTAAAAATCAATATCCTTCTTGTCTTATTTAAAAGTGTCTGCCAAAGACCTTGAAGGCATTACATTATTGTAAAATTTTCAGATGAATTTATTAAAAGATGTATTCTTATATTTACCCATGCTCTGTGTCTATTTTTGTCCCATTGTTTACATCAATATCTTTTTCCATGCAACTTCCATTCTTTATTTTTTCACTGGGACAGTACTATCACATTGTTGAACCTGGTCAACCAAAGATTCGCTTAATGACTTAACTCTATAGACATTGATTAAACACCTTCTCTGAGCAAAGTAAAATGGTAGCCACTCAGGTAAATACAAAGATAAATTATCAAATATCCGATTCTCCTAAAGTTCACCATCAAGTGGAAGAGGTGGTGATAATACACATAATTCAATGCCTGTGTAAGATATTGAGGAAAAAATAGAGAAGGAGAGTAAAATCGAGATGCCAGAATTTCTGGCAATAAACTAAAGCATCAAAGAAGTCTTCATAACACCTGTAAATCTCAGGATTTCTCTGGTAGATTTTGTTAGAAATGACAATATTCAAAACAGTTTTCATCCTCCCAGCTGGGAATAGCTATCAAATCATAAGTCCAAGTTTTCTCATAGTTCACTAAATTCTCTTGGGTCTTGAAGAAGATAGCCAAAAAGCTATCAATTGATATTCACATTATTTTGGTGATATATAGAATATTTCATAAATTTGACATAGTAAAATATTTAGCTCCTTTTAATGGTGGCAAAATATACTTAGATATAAAAATGCTCACTAAAAATGTAGACATCTGTTATACCCACTTGATTATGTTCAAGAGTTAATAATTGATTTGTGTGAAATAAAAGATTGAAAGACAATTAACAAGAGAAATTGATTCTTTTTATGAAAAGGAGACTTGCTGCTCATAGAAAAATCATATGGGAAAAAATATATTCAATTTTATGCCCAAATGATCAAGTATTGAGAATTGAATAAAGAATTGGCAAAAGTGCAAGGACTCAAAATCCCATATGTACGTGTTCAAGAAGTAACTATAAGATGTGTCCTAGCAAACTGTGGTAGAAAAACAAGAAAAAGGTAGATTGGTATCTAGAACATAGAGAACCAAACACAGAGAGCTACACAGTGGAATTTTACCAGGACAGCCATGACTTAGGCTAGAAAGTAACCAGTATGGGTCAAAGCAGGAAGAACAAGGACTCCAGGGATATCTTAGTTTATTTGGGCTGCTATAACAAAAAATGCCATAGACTAGGTGGCTTGCAAACAAGAGAAATTTATTTCTCTAGAGGGTGGAAAGTTTAAGATCAACGCTGTGGTAGATCCAGTGTCTGGTTAAGGCTGTCTTCCTGATTCATCAATGATAACCTCACTTGGTGGAAAGCGAAGAGGAGGTCACTGGGGTCTCTTTTATATGAGCACTAATCCCATTCAGGAGGGCTCCCTCTGCCCAAATGAACTATTCATCTCTCAAAGGTCTTACCTCCAAATAGCCTCACATTGACAATTAGGTTTCAATATATGTATTTTGGGAGGACATAAACATTTTGTTCATAACAAGAGGTAAGCTTTATAAATTATTATAGTTATTTGTACATTTGAGGAAATAATAGTGGTGAGTTTGGTTGATACGACAGGATTTGTAAAGGTATATGGAAATTCAGACAAAACAAGAAAGAGAATAAAGCAGTTATGAATTCCAAGAGTAGCAAAAGACTGCAAAAAAGTAAAATACAATAATGGTATATTACTTAACTCATTAACAAACAATATGTACATAGTAAATACTGACAATAACTTAAGCAAATGTTTTATAAGATATTGAGAAGGTAGAGGAAAGGAAGACAGGTTAGTGCAAAAGAGAGAAATTTGTAAGTCAATAAGTAAATCTACATGTGATAAATCAAGAAAAAGTGATGTACATATATAATTTAGATATGGAAGAGGGAGAAATGTCAGAAGACTCAACTAAATTTGTTATGTCTCTGGGTAATGGCACTGGAAATGAAGAAACGTGGGAATGTATCTGATGTTTATTATAACCTTTTATTTTTAGAAAGCTATATGTATATTATTTTGATTAAAAATCTTTGGCCAGTCACAGTGGCTCATGTCTGTAATCCCAGCACTTTGGGGTGCTGAGGTGGGTGGATCGCTTGAGCTCATGAGTTAGAGACCAGACTGGGCAACATGGTAAAACTGTCTCTTCAAAAAATACAAAAATTATCCAGGTGTGGTGCCATGTACCTGTAGTCTCAGCTACTTGGGAGGCTGAGGAGGGAGGATGGCTTGAGCCTGGAAGGCAGAAATTGCAGTGAGCTGAGATAGGGCCACTACACTCCAGCCTGGGTAATAGAGTCAGACTGTGTCTCAAAAAAAAAAAAAAAGAAAAGAAAAAAAAAAAGAAAATCCTCCATTTATTTTTATTAATTTGCAAAACAAAAAGTATATCCTGCCTAATCTAAGTAGGAAGGAATTTGTTAAAGAATATAAATGGAGCTAAGGAAACAGAACTGACCATCCAAAGAGCACACAGAGATTTGGTCCAACAAAGAAATTTCTACCACCAAAAGTTGCTATTCCAGCTAACACACTTTCCAGAAAAATGGATGCTACACTTCCAGGTTGCTTACTTTTGAATCAGTCTTCTAGAGAGTGAATGCTATGTCCTCAGCTGAGAAGCAAAGGAGTCTAGAAAAGTGAATTTTCTGGATCCTCCTTTGAAAAAGCAAAACTTTAAGTGTGGAGAATTATCCAAATATAGACAAGGAGTTCAAAAAATACTGGGCATCCAGAAATGATACAGTTTAGTACATACAGATGCATAATTCCTCTCCTAGAATGTATGTTTTTCTCAATGATATCTGACCATTTAAATAAAAGCTTCATTAATAATTCTAAAAAAAATCCTAAGAAAATGTTGTAATTCTGGATTGGCTACTTCTGGCGACTCATGTGTTGCGATGGGCTCGATATATCTTAGCATAATCTAGTGAGTATAGATTCTGGGCTGGAATTTAACAAAGCAAGTTTGAATAACAGCTGGAACATTTTGTTATATGGAAAGATACAGAAGGCCAGATTTAAACATTAACACCTTCAGAAAATAGTTATGAATGGCTTTGTACTGCTAACTTTATTTCTTCTGCACACTACACATTAAATGTTCTTTTGACTTTAGCTGTAAATTGGCCATCTTAAGTACAAGTTTGATGAGTGTATTTTTCTTTAGCTAAAATTACCAAAAATTACTTTACTTATTAGCAGTGATTATGTGATCGTCAACTATGTTAAGAAGTAAACATACCGATTCATCTTCAGGATAATTATCTCTGAATAATTAAAGGCAAGTGAAGACATAAAGAACACGAGAAAATCAAGTCCAAATCCATTCTATAATATAGAACAAAAATTGGAATAGTTACCTGGTGAGATGAATCCCAGTTTCATTTGCTAATCTGAGTCAACATAACATTAGGAAACTAGGCTAGCCTAACAATTTAAATATTATTTATATATCCAGAAAACAACTCCTAGGAATATAATCACTCCAAAATTCTTCAGACACATGAGTCCTTCAAGACAGAATCACAGATAGTAGATATCACGTAATAGCATCCCATTAATTATGTTCTGCTTCTGGGAAAGGTGATAATAGTCACTGATTCACAAAATGTATGTGGTGGGAATAAATTTAGAGTTGATCTTATATATATCAGGCTCATTTTACAGATCATAAAACCCACAATGTTGGAATTAAAAATAATCACACCTTCATTTTGCATGTGAAAAGAAAAACTCAGAAAGTAAAAGCAATAACGTATGTGGCAGAAAATGCTTGGAACACAGATTTCTTGATATCAAAGAAGTAAGGAGCTAAGAAATCATGTCAGACAGCGTACACATCTTAACTGCTACACTATACCGCCCCTTGACGAAAAAGGAAAAACAGTTAATAAACATGAAAAGTCCAATTTTAACAATAATAAAGATATGCAACTTAAAACAAGAAGAAATCACATTTCACATGTAGTTGATCTCATTAGTCACAGTAATTATGTCCTATAAAGTTGTTGAGAATACTACAGTAGTGAGTACTGAGTCATTGCTTTTAAAAGAAATATAGGATAAGACTCCTGTAAGATTTCAGTGACAACATTTTTGTCAAATGATTAATATATTAATATAATTTAATTTCATTATATACAGTAACTGAGAAGGGTTTAACATTTTCCTAATCCTGGGTGACATGAACATAAATTTCTTTGGCATTTGGCATCACAACAAGGCTACCTACTATTCCTTTTTTTACTTGTCATCTTATAAATCTACAAAGTTCGCTGCTTTTCCATCTTTTCCATGTCATCAGCCTGGACTATAGATGTTACTTGAGCATTTTTCCAGAGCTGCTCACATACAGAGGAACAAATTTTCACTTGCTTTTTCTGGATGTAGCATAGCGTTGACTTATTAACATTAACCACATGTTCAACAGCACTATAACTCAGCCCTGAATGAAGCTTATTGGACATACGTATTTTCTCCAGAAGACACATTACAGCTTTCTTACAGATAGGAACACTAGACAGCACTTTAGCACTGGGATTGGGGACCATTTTAAACAGCAAAACCACTAGCAAAAGCACAAAAATGCAAAAATTTTGGCACTAAATTGACCTAAAAGCGATGCCTGTTTACAATAAGAAAGTTGAAACAAGAAGGCAGAGTGTTGCCTTGTTCAGCTTTAGCTGGATATGTGTCAAATTTTTTGCCCAACTTATTCATTCATGAATGCTCATGAATGACCAGGAAAGTGCTTCAGGGTTTCAAATACATCTTAATGAGTAGGCAAATTCAAGAATACAGAATTTATGAATAATGAGGACTGGTTATATATTGACAAAGAATTAGATAAGATTAGTGTTGGCAAGGATGAGGGACAGTGGACACACTCCACTGCTGGTGTGTGCCTTTTGGATTAGTACAGAATTTCCAGAAGCCAACTTGGAAATACAAATCAGAAACTTTAAAATTGTTCACATGCTGTGATGGTTCATTTCATGTGTCAATTTGACTGGGCCACAGGTTGCTCAGATGTTTGAACAAACATTATTCTAGATGTTTCAGTGAGGGTGGTTCTGGATGAGATTAACATTTAAATTGCTAAACTGAGTAAAGCAGGTTGCCATCCTCAATGTGTGTGGGCCTCATCCAATCAGTGGAAGGTCTGACTAGAACAAGAAAGCTGATCTTCCTCTGAAAAGGAAAGAATTCCTTTGGCCTAATCACCTTCAAACTGGAACATCAGTTTTTTTCCTGCCTTTGGACTCAAACTGAAGCATCTACTCTTAATGAATCTTGAGCCTTCAGATGGAACTACACTGGCTCTCCTGGTTCTCAGGCTGTCAGATTCAGCCTAGAACCTACACTACTGGCTCTTCTGGATCTCCAACATGCTGAATCATCATGAAAATTTTGGGACTTGTCAGCTGCCATAATTGCATAAGCCAATTATTTATAATAAATCTCTTTACATACATATATAAACACATGATGTATATGCATTCTATGTACACGCACAAATTGTGTGCATACATTTGAGCATATGTGTGTGTCCATATATATGCGTGTGTATTGGTTGTTTCTCTAGAGAGTCCTGAGAAATACACATGCTTTATTCCTGGAATTGTACTTCTAGGAATATATCCTGAGAAATTAATTGGACAGTATGCAAATAGATAGCTGTATATGTACAGTATATGAGACTGTATATAATATATACAATACAGTATATAATAGCTGTATATCTTGTACATAATGAGAGGTTTGTGGGAAGAATATTTATAATGGCAACAAATTAGGAAGAAAATAAACATCCACACAAGGTTTTTCATATATCCTACTATGCTATTATATCAAAAATTATGATATAGACATTTATTTATGTGAAAAGGTACTTACTTTAAAAATATTGAATAAAAATTTGCTAATGACCAAAAAAATTGCTAACTACCATATGTAGTAGAATCACATTTTAAAAATGTATATGGGATGTATCACACAGAGCAAGATGGCCAAATAGAACCCTCCAGTGATCACTCCCCCTACAGGAACACCACACTGAACAGCTATCCACACAAGAAAGCCCCTCGATAAGAACCAAAAATCAGATGAGCAATCATAGAACCTGGTTGTAACATCATACCAAAGGAAGAGACAGTGAAGTGGTAGGAAAGACAATCTTGAATTGCTGACACTGCCCCTCTCCCATTTTCCAGCAGCAGACACCTGGTGTGGAGAGAGAATCTGTGTGCTTGGGGTAGGGAAAGCACAGTGATTTTAGGACTTTGCATTGAACTTAGCATTGCCTGTCACAGTGGAAGGCAACACAGGGTAGAATTCAGCCAGCACCTATGGAGGGAGCATTTAGACCATCCCCACCAGAGAGAAATCATCCATCTCAGCAGTTAGAACCTGAGTTCCAACTAGCCGAACCTCTGCAGACTGAAGTGCTATGGGGTTCTAAATGCACATGAAAGGCAGTGTAGGCTACAGGGATTGCAAGTCTTGGTGCTTGCAAGGCTTGGATCCAGTGGACCTGGGATGCACATGACCTAGTGATACATTACCTGGGGTGGAAAATGGAGTGCTTGTGTCACCCCTCCCCCAACCCCAGGCAGTGCGGTTTGCAGTTCTGGAAGAGACTCCTTCCCTCTGTTTGAAGAGAGGAGAAGGAAGAGTAAAAAGGACTTTCTTTTAAAACTTGGATACCAGCTCAGCCACAGCTGGATAGGGCACCAGGCAGAGTCCTGAGGCCCACATTCCAGCCCTAGCTCCCAGATGTCATGTCTAAACATACATTGGGCCAGAAGAGAATCCATTGCTTTCTGGGGTTTCCTTCTGGCCCAGGGAAGGAACCAGTTCTGGTAGGATCCATCAACTGTTGACTAAAGAGTACTTGGGCTTTGAATAAACATCAACAGTAGCCAGGTAGTACTTGCTGCAGGCCTTGGGTGAGATCCAGTACCATTCTGGCTTCAGCTGTGACTCAGAACATCCTCAGCTGTGATCATCATGGGGAGAGACTCTTTCTGCTTGAGGAAGAAGAGGGATGGGTAAAGGGGACTTTGTCTTGCAGCTTGGGTACCAGCCGGGCCACAGTGGGTTAAAGCAAGGAGTGGGTTCCTGAGTCCCTTATTCTAGGCTTTGGCTCCTGGAAGGCATATCTGGACCCACTCTGGGCCAGAGGGGAGCCGACTTCCCTGAAAGTAGAGCCCTACGCCTGGCAGCCTTTACCACAGGCTTACTGAAGAGCCCTTGAGCCTTGAGTGAACATCAGTGGTAGCTAAGCAGTACTCACTGTGAGCCTGGGGTGGTAGTGGCCATGAGGAGAGACTCCTTCTGCTTAAGGAAAGTGAAGTAAGAGTGGGAAGAACTTTGTCTCGTGGCTTGGGTGCCAGCTCAGTCACAGTAGAAAAGAGCACAAACTAGATTCCTTAGGTTCCTGAAACTAAGTTTATAACTTAAAAAATGAAAAGCCTCAAAAAAAAAAAAAACAATATAATAATGCGTCTTAAACAACTAGCAAAGCAAGAGCAAACCAAACCCCCAATTAGGAGAAGAAATAATAAAGATCAGAGCAGAAACAAATGGATTGGAATGAGGAAACAATACAAAAGATTAATGAAACAAATATTGGAGCTTTGAAAAGAGGAATAAAATCCACAAAACTTCAGCCAGACTAAGAAAAAAGAGTGAAGACTCAAATAAATAACATCAGAGATTGTTCTTCTTAAAAAAAGGGCACATCACAAATGATAGCAGAGAAATTCAAAGGATCATTAGAGGCTACTATGAGTAACTAAATGTCAATAAATTGGAAAACCTAGAATAAATGGATAAACTCCTAGACACTTGCAACCTACCAAGGTTGAACCATGAAAAAACCCAAAATCTGAATAGACCAATAATAAGGGATGACAGCTAAGTTTTAATAAAAAAAGTCTCCCAGCAAAGAAAAGCCTGGGACCCAATGGCTTCACTGCTGAATTTTATCAACCATTTAAAAAAGAAATAGTATTAATCCTACTTCAACTATTCTGAAGTATAGAAGATGGGGGAATACTTCCAAACTCATTCTGTGAGGCCAGTATTACCCTGATACCAAAAAAACTTAGTATAGAAGAAGCATACCTCAATACAACAAAAGCCATACATGAGAGATCCACAATTAGTATAATACTGAATGAGGAATAACTGAAAGCCTTTCCTCTAATATATGCAACACAATGAGGATGCCCACTTTCACCAATGTTATTCAACATATTACTGGAAGTCCTAACTAAAGCAATCAGAAAAGAGAAAGAAATAAAGGGCATCCAAAATGAAAAGGAAGAATTTAAATTATCCTTGTTTGCAGGTTATATGATCCTATATTTGAAAAAACCTAAAGACTCCACCAGAAACTATTAGAACCCATAAATAAATTCAGTAAAGTTGCAGGATACAAAATCAACATACAAAAATAGGTAGCATTTCTATATGCCAACAGCAAACAATCTGACAAAGAATTCAAGAAAGTAATCCCATTTGTAATAGCTACAAATAAAATACCTAGGAATAAACCAAACCAAAGAAATTTTAAAAGTTTCTACAATGAAAACTATAAAACATTGATACAATAAATTAAAGAGGACACAAAAAATGGAAACATATTTTATGTTCATGGATTCTAAAAATTAATATTGTTAAAAGTCTATACTTCCTAAAGCAATCTACAGATTCAATGCAATCTCTATAAAAAATTCCAGTGACATTCTTCACAGAAATAGAGAAAATAATCCTAAAATTTATATGGAAGCACAAAAGACCCAGAATAGCCAGAGCTATCTTGAGCAAAAAGTTCAAAACTGGAGTAATCACATTACTTGACTTCAAATTATATTACAGCGCTATAATAACAAAAACAACATGGACCTGGCATAAAAACAGACACATAAACCAGTGGAACAGAATAGAGAACACAGAAATAAATCCATATACCTACAATGAACTCATTTTAGACAATGGTGCCAAGAACACACATTGGGGAAAGGACAGTCTCTTCAATAAATGGTGTTTTAAAAAACTGATATCCATATGCAGAAGAATGACACTAGACCCCTCTCATCAAATACAAAAATCAAATAAAAATAGATTAATGACTTAAATATAAGACCTTAAACTATGAAACTGCCAAAAGAAAACACTGGGGAAGTTTCCGAGAAATTGGTCTGGTCAAAGGTTTATTGTGTAATACCCCACAAGAACAGGCAACCAAAGCAAAAACAGGCAAATGGGATCACATCAAGTTCATAAGTTTCTGCACAGCAAAGGAAACAATACAAAAGTGAAGAGATAATCCATAGAATTGGAGAAAATATTTTCAAACTATCCATCTAGCAAGGAATTAATAACCAGAATATACAAGGAGCTCAAACAACTCTATAGGAAAAAATCTAATAATCTATGAATGGGCAAAAATCTGAATAGACACTTCTCAAAAGAAGACCTACAAATGGCAAACAGATACATGAAAACATGCTCAACATCACTGATCACTGGAAAAATGCAAATGAAAACTACAATGAGATAGCACCTCACCACAGTTAAAACTGGTTTTATTCAAAAGACAGGCAATATTAAATGCTGATGAGGATGTGGAGAAAAGAGGCTTCTTGCACACTGTTGGTGAAATGTAAATTAGTACAGCCACTATAGACAATAGTATGGAGGTCTCTCAAAAAACTAAAAATAGAACTACCATATGATCTGGCAATCCCACTGCTGGGTATATACCCAAAATAAAGGACATTAATATATCAAAGAGATATCTACACTCCTGTGTTTATTGCAGCACTACTCACAATAGCCAAGATTTGAAAGCAACCTAAGTATTCATCAACAGATGAATGGATAAAGAAAATGTGGTACACATACATATTCCCAAGGTAGTATTATTCTGCCATTAAAAGAATGAGACGCAGTCATTTGCAATAACATGGATGAAACTGGAGGATATTATATTAAATAAAATAACCCAGACCCAGAAACACATGCTTTTTGTGTTCTCACTTACTGTGGGAACTAAAATTTAAAACATTGAACTCATGGAGATAAAGTAGAACGATGGTTACCAGAGGCTAGGAAGGATGCGCGGGCAGGAAACGGGGATCGTTAAGGGGTACAAAAATATAGTTAAATAGAATAAAGAAGAACGAGTATTTGAGTGCACAACAGGTTGAGCAAACAATAATTTATTGTACATTTTAAAATAATTTAAAAAATAGAATGGAAATGTTTGTAATACAAATGATAAATGCTTGAGGTGATGGATACCCCATTTACTCTGATGTAATTATTACACATGGTATGTCTGTATTAAATTATTTCATGTACCCCATAAATATGTACACTATGTACCCATAAAAATTAAAAAGAAAACATGTATATGAATATATGTGGATAGAAAGACATTTAGCAGAAGTCTTCAGAGAAGTTTCTGTAATGAATACATGTTGTTGCATTGTTTAATGAAGAAAAAAGCACATGATAGAAAAAAGGCTTTGTGACATAATAGAAGCAACTCTAGATTTGGTGTCAGGTGACTGGGTTCTAAAGCAGCTCCTCAGTAATTTGATATGGTGACTAAACTACTCTGGTCCTTCTTTCCTTATCTATAATATGGAATTAAACTAACTAATCTCTGAGGTCTCTCCCAGTACCAAAGTTTCTTGGGACCATATTTCTTTGGACTTCTTGGTAAAGTTTTTAAGGGTTTGTAAGCCTCATGATCTCAACTCAGGAATCTAAGGAAACACACCATGAACGATTTCTCTGCACATTAGCTGGTGGGACATTCCCCATCGATGGCTCTAATGCTAACTCTAACTTGGCTTGATCCTGTTTTCATGATACTGAAATGGAGGGACACAGATAAGATGTGGACTTTGCTTTGTCTGGTTGCATTGTCCTAATGTCCTAGAGAGAGGAGATAGTATATAGTAAAAAGAACATGGATGGCAGGATTTGAATTCTTACCCTAACAATTACTGATTCCAAGGAATGTTTTACACATCAGAAAAAAACAAAAATCTACTGGACAAGAGTTTTTGTGAGCTCCAAATTCATGAAGGCAGGTAAACTGCATAGAACACAATAAGCACTAGAAAAAAAAGTACAGTAATTTTCTTTTCTTCTTCTTCCTTTCACAAATGACATATTCTAGAATCAGGTTGATTCTGTGAAAAACGGGAAAAGAGAGATAAGTTTTCTTCATAATTGTCCTAGGAGCTGAAGGTAATCTTGTTCTACTCAACAGTTACGTTATAGACAGCTGATAAATTGTAACTTACAATGAATATGTTGTCATAGCGGTAAAAAAAATAAATGCAAGTTAAGCAGTAAGAGAGAGGAAACAAGGATTTAATTTTGAGATCAATTTGGAACACAATTAAGGTGATGTAGGAATCTAATATTTCATTTGTGTCTAATAAAATACCTAGGCTTGCTAGTGATTATATGCAGAGTCATTTCCTGTCCCCTCTAATAGATAATAGCTCCGACACTGTGTCCTTTAACAAAGTGTCAAAGAAACAGTTCAATGTACTCCAAGAGGAAAACAAATCACACCCTGCCAGACCTACATTATTTTGAGATTCTGCCCACTGAAGTAGGAACATATCCTAACCTTTTTTTTTTTTTAACTCAAGAAATCTGATGGTATCTTGGGAAAAAAGGTTATAGCTTTATCCTGAAAACTAATTCCATTATTTAGAAAGGACATCATGCAAACGAATGTTGATGCATAACGGGGAACAAATGATAAGGCCTCTTAAGACCTCAAAAAACTTAGGTTTTTATAGTGAGGAATTCAAATGGTTAGTCAAAGAGATTATCTCCTAAATGTCCGTCTGTTCCCTGATCCCATTCTGATTTCTGATTACCTTCAAATGCTGTAAAGCTACAGTTTTCCAACTATGTGCCAAAGCACCTCAAGGTGATGCAGAAAATCCATAGAGTACTGTGAGATGCTTTATATTTTTAAGGGAAACACAGTGGTCTTTAGCACCTGTCAGATGTTCCATGAATTAATTACAAGCTGAAGGTAATTCGCAGATTGTATACCATTCCCCTGCATGCCATCATATCTTTTAGAAGCTGGGTTTTTCACAGATTATGTAATAAAAAGCAAGGACTGCACAAAAAGTAATGTGGAACAGGAAGTGAGGGTAGTGGTGTCCAAACTGACTCCGAGGTTTGAGAAGCTGTGCAGTGCCTAATGAGTGCACTCTTCTCATTAGGAAGTAATTGTGATTATTCAAAAATGACATAAAATATTTTCTCTCTAAATTTATGTGGATTATTTTAAGCCGCTACTATTAATAATTTGCTAGGACATAAATACTTATTAAGTTGTTTGGACCTAACTATTTACTGTACTGAAGTGTCAGATATTTCTTTTGGCCTGGGATGCTGTGGAATAATATACACCAAGGGCCACCTGAACAGAGAAAGTTTGGTAACTCTGCCTTGCAGCTGTCTTCCACCTTGTCAAGATAGCACAGGTCAATGTTTTGTCTTCAACGGCATAGGTACAACAATAAACTGCCTGAGAAGGCTGGGAAGTTTGTACTCCCTTTCATTAAAGCAGAGAAAGCGAAAATAAATTTTCAGTCATTAAGGTCTTTGCAACCTACTGAGAAATGTCTGCATGCCTCATGTTAAACATTTGTCACCTGAGGACAGCCATCTGTTCTTTACAATTTTCATTTGGCCATAACCTCCTCTCCTCTTGCCAAAAGTATTAGAAGGTTGATGGCTTGCTATACAAAATCAGGATGCTTTGGAATTGCCTATTGGATGTGCTTATTTGTAGCAACATTTATTTTATCTGACCTACTTTCTGCATTTCTCAAAAGATTCACATCTCATAAACATACTATTTAATTTCTAATAGTGTTCCAAATTGCAAGCACCCTAAAACAATTATTTCATTCTTCTGCTTAAATTAGAAAGCTGGAAAGTAAGTATTCAGACATTATCACTTACTCACATAAGACATGGCACAGAAACCCCAATCTACAATTGCTTACAAAAGATTCCAAAGAATATGTTTGAAGACTTCTCTCTCTTTCCTCTACACTCTCTCTCTTTGGTGGAACTCATTCCACCTCATTGCTAGCATGGGATAATATCTATCAGGTGGCTCCCAAATTTCTGTCTTCTCCTTCTGAATTGTAGCAACACATTTCAAATTGCCCGGATATTTTACAGGCCCCACAAACATCATGTGCCCAAAAATGTACTTACTAGCTTTCCTTTTATACTGCTTTTTCTCCTGCCTTTGTTTTTATGGCCATTTCATAGTCCAAATCTGTTACCTTTTACTACTCCTTCTTCCTTGTCCACAGCAACCAATTGGTTGTCAAGTCTTAGCAATTTATCTCTTCCACTCATCCTCTGCTCCCACTGCAGCTTCCCTGGTTCAGGCCATTAATCTCTTCTTACTCTAGTGCATTCTTTGCAAAACAGCTAGAATGATCTTTACAAGATTCAAATAGGCTCATGTAAGCTCCAGACTTTGGTTTTGTATAATTTGACCCCTGCTTGTTTTACAAGTTTCATCTCAAGCTTCTTATCATCTCCACTAAGAGCTGTGGCCTTTTTTTTGGCTTCTCAACTATTTGTAGCTCCTCCCCAACTCAGAGCCAATATAATGCTATTCCCTCTACCTAAAAAGTTCCTACTTTGGCCTCCCTCCCCTTCTTAAAATTTGGGATCACTTTAGGCTCAAATTGATCTTCACCTAAATTCTATTCTTTTCTGGAGGAATTTTGATATGAGGAACCATATCTGCTGCCAGCCACTACTGCTCCCATTCCAACTCCAGGACCAAAAAAAAAAAAAAAGCTGTCAATTTAAGTTGCGCACAAGCTGGCTCCAAATTTGGAGGACACAACAGCCTAAATAAATATAAAACTAAGGTGGTGCAATGACCTGTGTTAGCCACAATAGTGAAAAACTCAAGTGTGTATTGATCATAAGAAAAAAATCTTAAAAAGTAGTTGAAGAAGCCATGAGCAAAATCCTTTATTAGTTTTAAGTGGGAAAATCTTTTTTACCATGATTTACAACTTAGAAACCAAAAAAGAAAATATTAATATATTCTCAGAAAATATTTGCTTTGTATGTACCATAATGTATATTCAAGTGTCTACCTATTTATTCAATCATTCAATACGTATTTATTGAATCTCTGCTATGTTCTAGGCTTTGTGTCAGCCGCAGAATTGGCCCATCTTGAGGCAAGGGGGCTGGTCTTCCTCATTCTAATATCAGCCAGTGATACACTGTGGGTTTTTCCCAGGTTGAAAGGTGCAAGTGTTAGGGCCGGGCACGGTGGCTCATGCCTGTAATCCCAGCACTTTGAGAGGCCGAGGCAGGTGGATCACGAGGTCAGGAGATCGAGACCATCCTGGCTAACACAGTGAAACCCCGTCTCTACTAAAAAAATACAAAAAAAAAATTAGCCAAGCGTGGTGGCGGGTGCCTGTAGTCCCAGCTACTTGGGAGGCTGAGGCAGGAGAATGGCATGAACCCGGGAGGCAGAGCTTGTAGTGAGCAGAGATCGTGCCACTGCACTCCAGCCTGGGAGACAGTGAGACTCTATCTCAAAAAAAAAAAAAAAAAAAAAAGGTGCAAGAAGGTTCAAGTGTAACTTCCCAAACAAGAAGCTCTTGTTTCCCCAAAGTCAGTACTTAAAGAAGACTAAGACTATGAGCTCTTAGCAGTCAGTACACACCAGCTGTGGGGTAGGCACACCAGCCTCGTAAAGGGTATATAGGATACCAACAACTTTTACTTCAAAGTAAAAATAAAATAATTTTAATCTTGGAAGCCCAAAATGGTACAACTCTCTCTAGGCATGGGTCTGATTAACACAAGCATTGTTGTAGGAGTGGACAAGGATGTATTATGTTGCAGATAACTAGTTTTAACAGTGACATAGTGTGACAACACCAGAAGTAACGGTATCCTCAAATTGGGGCCAACTATTTAATGGATTGATCTGTTCCTACCATTGCTTTTCCTTGAGGCATTTGAAAGAAAGATTCGCTTTCTTGAATTGAGTGAGCCAGGTCTTGATAGATTTAGGGAACAGAAAGGGATAACAAACCTTTTAGAAATCTATTATTTGAAGAGTACAAATGATTGCATTTTTAAAAATTAGATATGTGACCATACGTGAACCCATAAGCTAGCGAAGAGCACTTACAAAGTATGGGTTGGAGAGGAGAAGGTTATGGGTAGGTGCAGGAGATGCACCCTAAATCTCTGTTTCTCCCCTCTAAGTGGGGCTGAGAGTTAATAACTTTGGAAATATATAATTATGCAGTGTATGAAGCAAACATTTATAATTAAATGCATAACTGTTTTATCAAACAGTCAATTTAAAGTGCTCTTTTGTGTTAGAGAGAAATAATGTTTTCTATTATTCCTCAATAAATACAAGATGGATACAGGTTGCCATTGTTTCGTTAAGTGAAAAGCCTTCTTTAACTAAAAATCTCTTCTACAACTTCTTTATTCTCAGTAGTAGTGTTTTGTGCAAAATGGCTTTACTCAAAACTCTTAGGAAAAAAAATATTAAAATTCGACACAAGAGAAGTCTTTTTCGTATTCACTTCTTCAAACTCCTTTCCTATCTCATTATTGCCAAACACGAAAAAAAATCTGAAATGATGTGGAGAATTTAAGCAGGCAGCAATTTATCAGAAAGTGCAGGAGCATACATTTAAAATGCTCATCTTCAAGAAAAAGAAGGAACAAATTTTTTAAAAATGACTTTATGTCAAACAAAATAATCAATATCTGGTTTTTAAAGAAGCAATTCCGAGCGAAAATAAAATCATTCACCCTTGTAGCTTTAAACAACAAATTTTTATGCATAAGGAGAAAGGGGCATTTTCTAGAGAACTTAAAAAAAAATAAGTGGAAATTACTCATGGTCTATTATTTTAAAAGACTTGTTTCATGAAAATGAAATAATGCCCCATTCCTAATGCCCCAAAACCTTAAATAATTTCTCACAGAGTTTACTAAATAGGCAAAACAGAAGCACGTTTTAGCCAACAAAACTTTTAAAAGGGAGTGTGTCTGCGTTTCATAAAGTATTATTTCACTTGAAGATCTCATACAGGCAACATGCCAATGGAGTTGTTTAAATAAGCTTTCAAAAACTACAGGCAATAAGAAAAGATACAAACTGTTTTCTTTAAAGGACATAAGGTGAAATATAAAGAGGGAAAAGTCAACCTTTTATAATCACCACTACTAGCCTTTACTTTGTGTCCCCTAAACCTCTGATTTAGCCTTATTTGGTGTTTTGAAAGACTACAGTCTCTTAAGAGACAAAGATACTCATAGCATTCGCTAAAGCAAGCTGCTAAATTTCTTGCATCTAAAAGCATTTCCATATATGCTCAGATGAAAACCCTGCCTGTTGGTTCTCTTAATCATGTTTTTCAGCACACTGACTCCGGAAATGTACAGTCTAGCCCTCGGGACGAGAGCAAAGCTCACATTTACTCACCAATTATTCAAGATTCCTTTTACTGCAGCATGTGTTCACTTTCTCCCTTTTGTGCATAAAAATGTGTTTGTAAAAATTACTTTGGAGCAACTGAACCACTGAATGAAGTTCAGAAGCAGGAAGCTGAAAACACAGATCTGAGGCTCAGATACATATAAATGAGTAATTCTACTATCTAAAGTTCACCATTAAAATTAGGGTGAGGCAGATAATCTTGTTTGTACCAGATAAGACAGCAGAACAGTAAACGACGGATAGAAGGAATGTTTGTACACTTATGAATGAAAAGAGTGATGAAACGGAATAAGAAGCAAAGTTACATGGTAAACCAAGAAACGATTTATAGAACAAGACTGTGAACACGGTATTCTAGAAAAGTGATCTATCAGGTGACAGTCGCTGCTGTGTGTGTTATCAAGAGATTTCCAAGTTGTAAATCCACCTACACGGAAAAAACACGGCAAGAAATACATCTGTGTTTAGTGGGAAGGAGAGCATTGCACAGTCAATCATCTTGTGTTTAACATGCTGGTTCGGAATCAAAATTTCCTTTAAAAATTGTTTATTCTTTCACTAATTTGCAGCTGAAGCACAATAATCATGCCACTGGTACTCAGTAGGAAGATTGCACACCTGGGGGACCTGTTCAAGATAACAACTCAGAAGACAGGGTGGCGAGAACATGTATCTAGGGACCTCAGCCAAGGATGCTAAATATAAAGGACAAGGTTCGTTTAGGAGAAAGAATCCCTTAAAAAAAATGTTATTTTAAAAGAGATGTTGCTTCCACACTATGAGCAAGTCGTTTTCTCTGTCTAGCAGGAAGTTGAAAATACAGATCGGAGGCTCAGCACATATATATGTGGCACTCTTCAATGTAAAGGACACAGTTGAAACATGGAGTGAAATAGATACCCTCATTTGCTTCATGCAACATTCATTCTGACACGTATTATGTTAGTCCTCTTGTACCGTAGATGAAAAACCTAACAAAGCCATTTTCCAGGCACGTTTCCAAGTAGAGCTCTACATGTGGCCTGGTCCCATCAAGTCTTGTGTGAGTTGAATGTGAAAGTGAGCAACAAAGGCAGCTGGCAGTCACAAGGACAAGTATTTCCAGATGGGCAGGTGTGGTGGCAGAGGCCCCTGGTTCTTCTGGAATAGCTGTGGCAGTTTCTAGCCTCCCCTGCCTAGCATCAGGAATCTACTGATAAGCCACGGTGACTGTGGTTTCCACTGGACTTCTCTGCTGGCTGCATTGCTGCTGGTTTTATATCTCGGCCTAGTTCCCTGAAGTTCCTGTGAGTTTCCCCATGTTTTATGAGTCTCTTTATGTTTACATTATGCTTACATAAGATTTTATGGTTTGCAACTAGGAGTAAATTACCTAAGGCAACAGAAAAATAAGAGATCCAAGGTAAAGGCATTGGACAAATTGGGGGGAAAAAAAACATATCCAAGAGGAGATGGTGAAACAAGAGAGCACAGGGTCCTTGTTCTACCCCCAGGTATGATACAAGTTTATATACTATTCTGACATTAGAAAAGAGATGAATGTCAGCCCTAGTTGGTCTTTGGCCAGGGTGTCTCATCCCGCTACAACCTCTCTCTCTCTCTCCCTTGCTTGGCTCAGGAAAAGACATTCTACACAGCTATCTATAAGGTCACATCTGGTATTGGGGGTATAATTTGCTACTGATAATATCAGATTTGGCTACCCCTGCTGATTGCAAGGTCTCTGCCCTCTGTGACCTCCTGGTCCTAAACCCAGTTTTCTTCTCTTTCACTGCCCCTCTCAGCATTTCCAAGCCTTTTGTAGGCCCAGAAATTCTCAGGTGCTTCTTCCACCCTTCAAAGCCACCCTCAAATCCATATCCCAGAAACCTCTCACTGCCCCTGCTACCATGCCATGTGGAATGCAGAGCCATGTCAAACTGGGGACTCTCTGGAGACTTGTCATCTCGGCAGAAAATGGTCAGGAGTGAGCGCCAGACCTGATATTCTGTTTGAGTGCTAGTGATAATTCCATTGTCCTCACCCCTCCCCTTTCCAGAATTTTAACAGATGCTAAAAAGTCTAGTTTGAAGAATTCTGATATATTTCCAGTTGGGAGTGTAAATTATTGCCACCTCTATGAAGGGTAATTTGGCAATATTTAACAAATTTTAAATACACATGGCCTTAAACAGCAAGCCCAACTTTAGGAACTTATACTACAAATAAAATCATGTTCTCACAAAATGGCCTTTTTATGAGGTTATTCATTGTGAGACTGTTTGTAATAGTGAAAGACTGGATAAATCAAATGTCCATCAATACGAGATTAGTTAAATAAAAATTGTAGTGAATTCATACAACAGAATATTCTCCTGATTCTCCAATAACATTGGTTGTCTGTGCAGAAAAGTAGGTGAATAAAGTTCAGAAGAGGAAAGGAGAATTTTCACCAGATATTCTTTTATACTTCTTGAATTTTGAACCATGTGAATACTATAAATACTTGTACATGCATTTTTAATCTTAAAAAATACATTTAATTTTTAAAAATCTACCTTTTTCCTTAAATCTTATATAAAAATATATCATTATATTTAAAAATTACTCTATACTCTAAAAAGCAATTACTTTTTTGTTCTTTGGATTTTCTATATTCTTCCTAAAGCTAAGATTGCTTCAGCTTTAATGATAGAAGGGCTTTAGGTCAAAGAGAAGCAATCTTAGTTCTCCAGAATAAGCAATAACTGTTGACTAGAATTTGAAATATATCTATATAATGTTTTCAAAAAATGCCATCTCTCTAAACACAGTCAATAGTTGGAATTTTCATCATTCCTCACTTAGATTTTTGCGTGTTGACTTTTTTCCTTTGTTCATCTCCATGTTTACATTAAAACATTCTAAACATGTCATTCTATAGTTTTGTGTAGATTCCGTAAAATTATATCCCTTGCATGTAAAATAACAACCATGGGCCGGGTGTGCTGGCTCACGCCTGTAATACCAGCACTTTGGGAGACCAAGGTGGGCAGATCACGAGGTCAGGAGTTTGAGATCAGCCTGGCCAACATGGTGAAACCCCGTCTCTACTAAAAATGCAAAAGTTAGACAGGCGTGATGGCGGGTGCCTGTAATCCCAGCTACTCAGGAGGCTGGGGCAGGAGAATCGCTTGAACCCAGGAGGCAGAGGTTGCAGTGAGCCGAGACTGTGTTATTGCACTCCAGCCTGGGCGACAGAGTGAGACTCCATCTCAAAATAAATAAATAAACAAAATAACAACCACGAACCAATCTTTTGGCGGTTCTCATATAATGAAAAACAGCTAGCTGACTTAAAGAGTGCACAGTATATATCAAACATTTCCTAGGTTCTTTCTTTGTTTGTCACAATAACCCTATTAAGCTGGTATTTTTTAATTGCATTTTGTAGATGAAGAAACTGAGGCACAGAAAAGTTTGCCAAGGACACATAGATAAGATGTGATGGAAGGAGGATTCGAACCCGTAGATCCTGTTCCATTCATGATGATGGTTCTACTAACAAGTGTCTAGGGAGCAGTAACTGTGTGTCAGTCGCTGCCCTAAACACTTCCATGGATTAACAGTTTTTTAAGGGCTTATTCAATTTAATCCTTACATCAAAGCTATGAATAGGCACTTACTGTCTTCCAATTAGATATGAGGGTATCAAGACAGAATGTTTAAGAAATTTATCATGTTCTTAACCGCTATATTATAGTATTTTGTCATCCAAACAAACCCATGAGGCAAATAAATTTATCTCTGGCTGCAACTTAGTTCACATAGTAATGAGAGACGGAAACGGGGTTTAAATCTAGCCCGTCTGCCTTCCACAATCTGGGACCTGCTTCTCCCTAAAGAAAGATTCCTGGACTACATGGCAGGCAGCTCTGGCACTAACTAGCTGCTTGTTTTGTTCATGTTTTCTAAGCTCTCAGGATTCTAATGGGCACATTTTAATGGGAGAGGGGAGAACCAGATGGTCACTAAAGGTCATTACAATTATGGAAGTCTCTTCTGCTCAACTTTTCTATTCTATCCCTTTAGAAATTCTATACAAAGAAATGCCTATTTACCTTTCATGTCCTGATTCTACAGGATGCAGGAAAAATGTCTTATGGCTAAATTTTGAGCATTTAAGCACCAAGTTTGGAGTTCCAAAAAGAATTCACATTGGTCTGATAGACGCAAGTTTGAACCCAGGCCTAGTTTTAAGTTGTGGCTCTCCTGTGTATGAGCTGCTCCCAATTTAAACCCTCAGGGTTCTGTGCCCTTTGTTTCTGTTATTCCTTCTCCTTCCCCTTTTACTTTGAGGGCCCAAATCCAAA
The DNA here is from genome assembly GCF_000001405.40 of Homo sapiens. Classification (NCBI taxonomy): domain Eukaryota; kingdom Metazoa; phylum Chordata; class Mammalia; order Primates; family Hominidae; genus Homo; species Homo sapiens. The sequence continues at coordinate 167,981,433 of NC_000003.12, forward strand.
ATATTCTTCAAGTTCCGTTTTAATTGCCCTCTCCTCTAAATCCTCCTTTGTTCTTTCCTCTCCCTGCATTTGAAGCATGGTTAAATACTTCCATCTGGTGAAATTATTTGACAATGAATGTCAAAAGGACAGAGAACAATGAAATTTTATTTGTTTTGTGCTTTCATATAACAGTTTTTCTGGTCAAGAAATTCTTTGTTATCCCAAGTTATTTTTGCTTTTGTTAACTTTGCCTACACTAGAAGCCTGTCTCCCTCTTCTTCTTCTTCTTCTTCTTCTTCTTCTTCTTCCTCTTCCTCTTCCTCTTCTTCTCCTTCTCCTTCTTCTTCTTGTTTTTACAGGTGAATCCTATGACATGGAAATTTATTGAACAAGCAAAATTATCCAGGTCCTTTGATCTTTTCTAAAAGGGCATTTCCTTCCCTGTTAAATACCTCGGTTTCTTTTCTGTGTCTCTCCATCCTCTCTCTCTGTCTTTCTTATTACTCCTCATTTCTTCCTTTTTAAATGTGTAAATTCAATTCAATTTAATAATATTAAAGTTCAGCTATGTACAGGACTCTAGCATTCTAGAGGTTAGAAAATTTTTAAATAATTTCTCCCCTCAAAGATTTAAAACATACTCAGAAAAAAATGCAACTACTAATTATGACACAATACACTTAAATGCTTGGGAACCAGAAGATTTATCTTTGTTTAAAACAAATAATGCAATTCACACACACATAAAACTAATTTGAAAGTAAACTAAAGAAACTTATAAACATTTTTAAAATGTTGTTATTAATTTTACTAACAGAAAGCTCAAGACACAAATTATGTGTAATTTGAAATTTCTACCAACTTTAATAAGACAGAAAACAAAGTACATTTTTATTGTTGGTATGAAAACTAATGGGATAAATTTATGTCTAAAAGATCAAAGCAAGGAGAGGAGGAGCAAGATGGCAAAATAGATGGCTCCACTGATCTCCACCTGCCAACAAGGACATCAATATAACAGCTATCTACACAGAAAAAAGCACCTTCATATAAGCAAAATGCAGGTGAGTACTCACAGTACCTGGCTTTAACTTCATATTGCTGAAAGAGGCACTGAAGAAGTAGAAAAAACAGTCTCGAATCACCAACACAACCCCTCCCATACCCCCCAGCAAAAGTATCTGGAGAGCATTTCTGTATGCTGGGGAGAGGGAGAGCACAGCAATGGTGAGACATTGAACTCAGTGCTGCCCTGTTATAGCAGAAAACAAAATTGGACCAAACTCAGCTGATGCCCGCCCATGGAAGGAGCATTTAAACTAGCCCTAGCCAGAGGGAAATCAGTGATCCTAGTGGTCCAAACTTGAGTTCTCACAAGCCTTGCCACTGCAGACTAAAGTACACTGGGACCCTAAATAAACTCGAAAGGCAGTCTATGCCACAGGACTACAACTCCTAAGTGAGTCCTAGTGCTGAACACGGCCCATAGCCAGTGGACTGGGAACACATGACCTACTAAGACATGAGCCAGGGCAACTAAAGGAGTGCTGGCCTCTCCCCTCCATCAACCCCAGGCTACACTGCTTATGGCTCCAAAAGAGACCACTTCCTCCACTTGAGGAAAGGAGGGAGCAGAACGGGGAGCAATTTGTTTTGCATCTTGGATACCAGCTCAGTTGCAGCAGGATAGGACATTGATCAGAGTTGTGAGGTCCCCTTTCCATGCCCTAGCTCCCAGATGACATTTCTAGACACACCCTGTGCCAGAAGGGAACCTCCTGCCTTAAGGAAACAGCCCAGTCCTGGCAGCATTCACCTGCTAACTGAAGAGCCCTTGGGTCCTGAATAGCCAGCAGTGATAACCAGATATGATGTTGAAGGCCTTGGGTGAGCCTCTGAGACTTGCTGACTTCAGGTATCATCTGGTCCACAGTGGAGTAGAGCACCAACCAGGCACTTGGGGTCCCAAATTACATGATTTGGCTTTTGGACAGGCTTCCTGGACCTGCCCTGGGCCAGATAGGAGCCCACTGCCCTGAAGGGTGAGTGCTAGCTAGGCCAGGCAAAATTCACCACAAGCTGACCGAAGAGCCCTTAAGCCTTAAGGGAACGTCAGCAGTAGTCTGTCAGTATTCCCTATGGGCTTGCAGTGGTGGTGACCATGGGGTGAGGCTCCTCTGCCTTTGGAAAGGAGAAGAAAGAGTGGGAAGGACAGCATCTTGTAATTTGAGTGCCAGCTCAGCTGCAGTACAATAGAATATCAGGTATACTTGTAAAGATTTTGACCCCAGTCAGTGGCTCTTGGATGAACCGTCTGGACCCACTTGGGGCCTGGAGGAACTTCCCACCCAGAAAAAAAGGAAACACGCCTGACTGGCTTTGCCATCTGCTGATTGTAGAGTCCCAGGGCCTTGAGTAAACATAGGCCATAGCCAGGGAGTGGTTATAGCAGACCTTGAAGACAAAAAATGTACAATAGATACACAAACACAAAATAAAAAGCAAGAAACAAAATCATATCAACAGAGAAAATAACCTTCACTAGAAGGGAGATAGGAAGGAAAGAAGAAGGAAGAGATGATCACAAAACAACTAGAAAACAAAATGACAAAATGCCAGAGTAAGTCCCTATTATCAATCACATTGAATGTAAATGGACTAAACTCTCTAATCAAAGGACATAGAGTGGCAGAATGTATACAATAATAAGACTCAATGATCTGTTGCCTAGAAGAAATTCACTTCACCAATAACAACACACATAGACTGAAAATAAAGGAATGAAAAAAGATATTCCATGCCAAAGAAAACCAAAAAAGAGCAGGAGTAGCTATACTTACAACAGACAAAACAGATTTCAAGACAAAAACTATAAGAAGAGAAAAAGAAGGTCACTATATAATGATAATGGTGTCAATTCAGCAAGATGATATGATCATTGTAAATATATACACACCCAACACTGGAGCACCCTGAAATATAATAATATTTATTAGAGCTAAAGCAAGAGATAAACTCGGATACAGTAATAACTGGAGACTTCAACACCCTACTTCCAGCATTGGACAGATCTTTCAGACAGAAAAAACAAAGAAATGTTGTGCTTCATCTGCACTATAGGCCAAATGAACCTAATAGATATTAGCAGAACATTTCATCCAATGGCTGCAGAACGTGCATTCTTTTCCTCAGCATGTGGATCATTCTTAAGGATAGATCATATGTTAGGTTACAAAACAAATCTTAAAACATTTGAAAAAATTGAAATAATACCAAACATCTTTTCTAACCACAATGGACTAAAACTAGAAATCAATAACAAGACGAATTGTGGAAACTATACAAATACATGGAAATGAAACAATATGCTCCTGAATGACAAGTGGGTAAATGAAGAAATTAAGAAGGAAATTGAAAAATTTCTTGAAACAAATGATAGAAGAAACACAACATACCAAAACTTATGGGATACAGCAAAAGCAGTACTAAGAGGGGATTTTATAGCTATAAGTGTCTACAACAAAAAAGAAGAAAGATTTTAAGTACAACCTAATGATGCCTCTTAAAAAATTAGAAAAGCAAGAGCAAACCAAATCCAAAATTAGTAGAAGAAAATAAATAATAAAGATTAGAGCAGAAATAAATGAAATTGAAATGAAGAAAATAATACAGTCAATGAAATAAAAATGTGCTTTTTTAAAAACTAAACAAAATTGACAAACCTTTAGCCAGACTAAGAAAAAAGATAGAAGACCCAAAGAAATAAATTTACAGATGAAAAGGGACATTTTAACTGTCAGCACAGAAACTCAAAGGATCATTATTGGCTACCATGAGCAACTACGTAACAATAAATTGGAAAATCTAGATAGAATGGACAAATTCCTAGACATGTACAACCTACCAAGGTTTAAATTCAAAACCTGAACAGACCAATAACAAGTAGTGAGATAGAAGCCCTAATAAAAAGTCTCCCAGTAAATAAAAGCCTTCACTGCTGAAAAATCCCATGCCTTCACTGCTGAATTTTAAAGTAGAAACAATACCAATCCCACTTAAACCATTCTAAGAAATAGAAGGGGAGGAAATACTTCCAAACTCATTCTATGAGGCCGGTATTGCCCTAATACAAAAATGAGACAAAGACACATAAAAACACAAAACAAAACAAAAACAACTACAGGCCAGTATCTCTGATGAATATTGACACAAACATCCTCAAAAAATCATAGCAAACCAAATTCAACAATACATTAAAATGATCATTCACCATGACCAAGTGGGATTTATCCCTGGGATGCAAGGATGTTTCAACATAAGCAAATCAATCAATGCAATACATCCTATCAGTAGAATAAAGAACAAAAATCATTTTAACTGATGCTGAAATAACATTTGATAAAATTTAATATCCCTTCATGATTAAAAAAAAAACCTCGAAAAATTCAGTATTGAAGTAACATACCTCAACATTTAAAAAGCCATATACTACAGACCCACAGCTAGTATCATACCAAATGGGGAAAAACTGAAAGCCTTACGTCTAATATCTGGAACATGACAAGAATGCCCACTTTCACCATTACCATTCAACATAGTACTAAAAGTCCTAGCTAGAGCAATCAGACAAGAGAAAGAAATAAAGTGAATCCAAATTAAGAAGAAAGAAGTCAAATTATCCTTGTTTGTAGATGATATAATATTTTATTTGGAAAAACCTAAGGACTCCACAAAACCTATTAGAACTGTTAAATTCATTAGTTACAGGATACAAAATCGCATTCAAAAAGCCATATAATTTATATATGCCAACAGTGAACCCTCTGAAAATGAAATATAAAAAATTATATTTACCATGGCCACACATAAAATTAAATACCTAGGAATTAACTTAACCAAAGGAGTGGAAGATCTCTGTAATGAAAACTGTAAAACACCCATGAAAGGAATTGAGGAGGACACCAAAAATGGAAAGATATTTCAGAGTCATGGATTGAAAGAATCAATATTGTTAAAATGTCCACACTACCCAAAGAACACTACAGACTCACTGCAATCTCTATCAAAATACCAATGGCATTCTTCACAGGAATAGAAAAAAACAATCCTAAAAGCTATCTTAAGCCAAAAGAACAAAACTGAAGAAATCACATTACCTGACTTCAAATTGTACTACAGAGCTATAGTAACCAAAACAGCATGGTCCTGATATAAAGACAAACACATAGACAAGTACAACAAAATAGAGAACCCAAAAGCAAATCCACGTATTACAGTGAACTCATTTTCAAGAAAAGTGCCAAGAATACACACTGGGGAAAAGACAGTCTCTTAAGTAAATGGTGCTGGGAACATTGGATATTCATATATAGAACAATAAAAATAGACCCCTATCTCTCACCATATACAAAAATTATATTAAAATGAATCATTTAAATCTAGGACTTATGCTATGAAACTGCTTTAGGAAAACATTGGGGAAATTCTCCAGGACATTGATCTGGGAGAAAAATTTCTTGAGTAATACCCCAGAAGCCCAGGCAACCAAAGCAAAAATGGACAAACGGGATGGCATCAGGTTAAAAAGCTTCTGATTGAAGGAAATAATCAATGAAGTGAAGAGACAACACACAGATGGGAAAAAATATTTGTCAACTACCATCTGACAGGGGAATAATAACCAGCATATGTAAGGAGCTCAAACAACCATATAGGAAAAAATCTAATAATCTGATTTTAAAATGGGCAAAAGATCTGAACAAACATTTCTCAAAAGAAGACATACAAATAGGAAACAGGCATATGAAAAGGTGTTTGACATCACTGATCATCAGAGAAATGCAAATCAAAACTACAATGAGATATCATCTCACCCTAGTTAAAATGGCTTTTATCCAAAAGACAGGCAATAATGAATTCCACTGTTGGTGGGAAGGTAAATTAGTACAACCACTATGGAGAACCGTTTGAAGGCTTCTCAAAAACTAAAAATAGAGCTACCATATGATCCAGCAATCCCACTGCTGGATATATTCCCAAAAGAAAGGAAATCAGTATACTGAAGAGATATCTGCACCCCCATGTTTGTTGCAGCACTATTCTCAATAGTCATGATTCGGAAACAACGTAAGGTGTTCATCAACACATGAGCGGATAAAAAAAAATCTGGTACTTATACACAACAGAGTACTATTCAGCCATAAAAAGAATGAGATCTAGTCATTTGCAATAACTTGGATGGAACTGGAGATCCTTCTGCTAAATGAAATAGCTGGGCACAGAAAGACAAATATCACATGTTTTCACTTATTAGTGGGCTCTAAAAATCAAAACAATTGAACTCTTGAAGATAGAGAGTGGAGGGTTGGTTACCAGAGGCTAGGAAAGGTAGTGGGGCACTGGGGGTGGGGTGGGGATGGTCAATGGGTACAAAATATAATTGAAAGAATGAATAAGACCTAGTGTTTGATAGCACGACAAGGTGACAATAGCCAGTAATAATTTAATTGTACATTTTGAAATCACTAAGAGTATAATTTCGAAATCACTAAGAGATTGTTTGTAGCACAAAAGATAAATGTTTGAGGGGATGGATACCCACATTATACATGATGTGATTATCATGCACTGCATGACTGTATCAAAACATCTCATGTACCTCATAAATAGGTACACTTACTATGTACCCACAAAAATTAAAATTAAAAATTAAAAAAATCAAGTGACTTTTTTCTATAATTTTTTAAGCAAAAATTGGCCAAATTTCAATATAATATAAAAACTTATACCATAAAATAAAATGTTTTGTTTGTTTTTACATTGGAAAAGTGTTAAGGCAGCATTTCAATGGACCCTAAGTGTTCTATGACAATATTTATAAGATAATGTTTGCTTTATGTAGAAGAGTTTCAAAACAGGATGCTATATTTAAGTGATGAAAAGTTGTTTAGAATCCTAGGCAGTCGAGTACACATTTTTCACTTAGACCAAAGACTGCCTCTTCCGTGTCTTGTATTTCTATGTTCTAGAACAGGTGGCTTAAAAAAATCTTTGGAATCTAACCTCTGGTGGAGATCAGTGATCCATCTTAGCCAGACCTCCCCTCTTCACTAGTGACTTAGAACGCCCGAGGCTAGTCTCTTTGCTTGGCAGCGCTCAAATAAATTTTATCCATTTCTCTGTCAGCTTTAAATGAGCTGGTCCAGTGCCCCCCACATCCCACCACACACACACAGTCTTCATACATTTGTTAATATATTAGGTCAATAACATAGCAATGTATTGTTTTACTTTTGTATTGAAGAAATACAGATAATCCAGATGACATTGCCTGGATAGTATAATGCAATTCTAGCAACTGACATGATAGCATTGTTAGTTTTGTTTTTTGTTACCAAGATCAGAATATGTCTCAAAATTTAGGCATCATACTTACTGAAATAAAAACGATCACACGTATTACTTAAACATAAAAATTATACACATATGTAAGTGTAGATAGAAGAGTCAGAGAGGCAAAGAGTTTGTTATCCTGCACCTCTTACTTTAGAAACAAAATCCTTCTATCAAATTGGCTTACTTTTTTTCTTAGCACCGCCAAAAACCAACATTCTAAAATATCTTACCCATTGAAAAGTAACTTAATACAAAACTCAGGGAACAATTGCTCTACTGAAAACAATTTTGGAAAAAGAGTATCACTAAACTAAAGTTGTTCATCCATAGAGTCAGTCATATAGGTATTTATCATATTCCAATTCATCAGCTTACAAAACTCAGACAGTATACAAGTGAAGCATACTAGAGCTCTCCCATTACTAACCAGGAAACATAAATAAAACCTCCTCTTTCATCCAGGGTATGCTTAGCAAGGCTTGCAATGCATTTTATTATTATATTGACATAAGCTATGCAAAGGGAAAGTTAAAGTAGAACATAAAGGTTTGATATATTTCTATTCCTTTTCAACGTTTCTTCTGATATGGCTTTGAAATAATGACAACACTTTATTTTAGTCAATAAAACCAATATTCTGTTACAAAATCGATTATAGAAAATTTAAAAATACACATAATAGGAAAATAATGCATTGGCTGAGATTCTTTGTGTGTCAAAACTTCTGTATCAACAGCATAAATATATTTTAGGGATATGACACATGATGAATTTTGTTTGGCCTACGAAGGTATTTTTATCTCTACATATCCTATTTTGAGAAACATTCAGAGAATGGTTTGCTTCAGCCAGAAATGTTTAAAAAAGAAATCAAATAACCTTTTGGACTTTTTTTCTTTATAAATGTATACATACTAGATGCAGAAATTTTGTATAATACAGAAAAGTAGGAAGAAAAACAGTTGCTCATAATCCCACAGACGATTAGTAATTTTTATTTTATTTTTTTCTTAATGTACAATTTTTGCTTAGGGGGTTTATTTTCTCTCCCATGGTTAAAATAATACATTTTGGTATTTTCTTTTTTTTTCACCTGCTTTAAGTGCATGGAAAGGGATATTAGAATAATACTCAGATTTCCATTCCAGTTCTGTCTCTATCTAGTTTTTATCACATTGATAAATTACTTATTTCCCCAAGCCTTAGATTTCTCATATATAAAATGGGATAACAATGGTATTTATCAATCCCTGTTGAACCTAAGCGAATACTGGCCTTCACAATTACCAGGTTCTTTTTGGTGAATAGTGGTGACCTGCAATAATTAGGACTCCTCCGCTGCTACTTCTCTGTCAGGGGACCCATAGCAATGAAAGCAAGGCTCAGACTGATTTCTGCCAAACATACAAGCATTCCGTGGCAATCAGGCATGCCAGTTCTTTGTCTTTACGTAATCCCACAGAAGTTTTCTTGGAAGTGTTACTCAGAGACTACGCTGTTAACGATATTCCAAGGTGAAGATCAGCTATCATAGTTGGAACAGATAATGAAATCTAAAGTATTGATCCAAAGGTATTAGGTTATTGGGCTTCCTAGATTTAAATATACCATTCAAGCAAGTTTGTAGGTATGTATAAAATAATTCCTAGTCAACATATTTAGAATATCACTCATTTCAACAAGAAATCTCCACTAAATATCCCTGTCATAATTAATGAACTCAATAATGAAAAATCATACAGTGATACCTGAAACACTGGTATAGACACATCTGAAGTCTAGATTCCTAATCAATGCCTTTCAATATTAACTAATCACCTCTGAATGAGAATTTCGATTAGAATACTTGAATTGTTGACTAAATGTCTTTGGGTTATATATAAAAACTAATATACACACATTTATATCTCATTATCTATGATAAAGCATTTTAAAGAAAATTAGGGATATTTAAAAACTGTCTCATATGCTGTCATAAAGACTCAATGAAATCACTTAATAAATATTTATTGAGATCCTAAAAATATGTCAGACACTAAGGTTTTGGGAATATGGAAAACAGTATGAAAAAGCTCTGCTCTCATGGACATTGTATTGACAGTGTCTAGACACTGTGTTCTCAATACACTATTTACCAAATTAATAAATGTTGGATGTATCTGTGCCATCATAAATATGATTATGTTAATGATTTATGTTCCCACTGTATACATAGAGTGTTACACACACAGGAGCATTTTTTCCTAAACATCATTGTTACTTCTATATAGTATTCCAAAGTCTGAATATAAAGTAATTTGCTTAACCATTCTTTTCCTTGGTATTTAAGCTGTTTTGACTCTTTTGTAATAAAAATAATACTTAGAAACATCTAAGTATTAGATACTCGTCCTTCTTTTGTTTTTCTGCATACCTCTCTTCCTCCTAGTACTCATATTTTTAAGATAAATTTTTCCTAAGAGAAGATTTCCAGAAATTCATGCATCTTTGCCCACAGATGATACGTCTAATACTAAAGAGCCTTCTGGGTGATGTAGCTCAAGCAGCCAAGTTCTTTGTACTCGGGTGCGTCTGCTGTAGAAACCTTTCTTATGGCATTTCTCAATCAATGTTGGCAGCCTTTGTTATCACCTAGTAAATCAGTTAGAATCATTTTTCCAGCCTGGGAATATACTGCTTTGATAACCTGAAGTAGTCTATCCGTCCTTGTAATTTCTTCTAAATGGCGTGAGGTACAACATGTCATAACTTGTTCTCTACTTCTGAGAGGATACCCCAACATGCTTCAGACCACGGGAGTATTATAGTCTATATTGATAAGGACAAGTCTCTAAATCATCATAGGGTTTATTTCTCCCCTTTCTGGAATGAAGCACCTTAACAAAGCCTTTAATGTACTTGTCAATTGTTGCTCAGCTGGTCCAACTGACATATCATTGATTGGATGGACCAATGTGATGTTCTGCTGTTCATCTCAATAGTCCAGGTTCCTTTAACTATATTATGACAGAAGGTAAAGGTAAGATAGCTCCAGAGTAAGAGAAAAAATATATACTCTTCTCCATCCCAAGTGAATGCAAACTATTTCTGATTGTCTTCCAGATAGGGCTGGAAAACAATGTATCACCAGGTCACTGGCAGCATACAACACACCTCAGGCCAGTAATTCTGCTCTGGCAAAGATAACACATTTAGCACAGTTCACTCTCATCCTTCGGGATTTGTCTGGTTTAAAGAGAATATGGTAGGAATCACCAATTCTGCGTTCTTTAGGTAGTTAAGGGCAACTCTAATCCCTGCTAGTCCCCAGTGGGACATAAAAATTGTAGTAATTTACTGTTTTGGGATGGGTGGGGGAGCAGTTTTAACTCTTACTCCACAGACCAAGGAATCACTGTGGAGGATTTGCCAACTACTCTGTATGTCTATTATAATTATTCATTTAGGAGTGGGAAAATGACCACTTGTGGTTCTCTTGATCACTATGAGGCAGGACCTGGGCCAAGAGTTTATTTATTACCCAACCCTTCAACCATACCCACTATAATAGGGGCATTATGTTGCTACTTTGTAGCTAGTTCCCAAAGGGCAATGTGAAAAGGGTTAGATAGTACCTGAACATGCAGCAGAGTTTAGCAAACATGAGTATTTTTTTAAATTTCATCTTTTATTTTAGATACAGAGGGTACGTGTGCAGATTTGTTACATGGGAATATTTCCTGATGGACCTGAGTCTTTTACAATGGGCAATAAGCATGCCTGCCCTTTGCTCTGTGGGAGGATACTATCTCAGTCTTCCAAGACTGTTGGTTACACAAACATCCTTGAATAGGTAGTTGATACAAAGGGCAGTCAGCACCTCACTTCTCAAAATGTGGAGAAACATAACAGACTCATGGAGAATTGTGTCTGAAAACTAATAACATACACTTTAAAGATTCATGGTATTTGTTCAATTAAATATGTAGGATCTGTAGAAAAGTTACAGTGTTGGTCCAGGGAAGTAAAACCTTTATGAAGGAATTGCAGTGTTTATTCAGGGTAGCAATTTGTTAACAATTGCTTTGTTAATTGAGATTTGTAACTTATGGATTGTGTGATTTGAAGCCTTGTTTACTATGAAGAGGTTAATTTCCTTGATTCTATCTGAAATTATATTTCATTGAATCTAAGATCTCATAGATGTAATGTGTACCATTATTCTATTTACCACTAAGAAAAAATTGTCTAATAACTAAATGTTGCAATACTTTATCACATTCAATGTAAAATGTATAATTATTTTACAGGTATTAAATTATGAAATATATATATGTCTTCAAATCAATTAAATATAAAAGAAGACATACATATGGCCAGTGGGAATATAAAAAATGCTCAACATCACTAAACATCAGGGAAATGCCAATTAAAACCACAATGAGATATCACCTCACATCTGTTAAAACGGCTGTTGTCTAAAAGACAAAAGGTAAGTGTTGTTGAGGATGTGGAGATAAGGAAACGCTGGTACACTGTTAATGAAAATATAAATTAGTACGGCCATATAGAAAACAGCATAGAGGTTCCTATAAAACTAAAAATAGAACTACCATATGATCTAACATTTCTACTTCTAGATATATATTCAAAGGAAACGAAGTCAGCATGTCAAAGAGATATCTGCACTCCCATGTTCATTGCAAGCACTATTTACAATAACCAAAATATGGAATCAACCTAAGTGTCCATCAATGTATGAACAGATGAAGAAAATGTGCTCTATATATACAATGGAATACTACTCAGCTATTAAACAGTAAGGAAATCCTGCCATTTGAACGACATGAACGAACTTGGAGGACATTAGGCACAGAGAGACAAACACTGCATGATTTCACTTATATATGGAACCAAAAAGTTGAACTTTAGCAGAGAGTGAAATGGTGAGTACCCAGGGGTTGGATTGGGAGAAAGGGGGTGATGTGGATATGTCGATCAAAGTTACAAAGTTTCAGTCAGACAAGAGGAGTGTAAGTTCTGGAGATCTATTGTATAGCATGGTAACTATAGTTAATGTGCACTTGAAAATTGCTAAGACAGTAGACTTAAAATGTTCTCACCACAAAAAATGATAAGTATGTGAGGTGAAGTATCTGTTAATTAGCTTAATTCAATTATTGTACAATGTATACACATATCAAAACATCACATTGTACACTATATAAAATGTTTCTCAATTAAATGTTAATAAAGCTGGAAAAAATCAATAAAGTACGTATTTGTTTATTGCCTTTTTCAACTAGAATGTAAGGTCAAGGAAGGTAGGAATTTTGTTGACATTAGTCATTAATATATGCCTAGTGCCTAGCACAGTGTCTGGCAGATAAATAATATTCATGAAATATTCACTAAATTAATATAGGAAAAATTGTAGGCTCTATCTCCCTCCCTGTTTCCTTTCTCCTCACCCCCAACTTTGGTCTATAATAGTAGTTCTCAATTCTACCAACATATAGAATCATCTGGGGAGCTTTAAAAACATACCAATTCCTGAGCCTCATCCAGACTAATTAGATCAGAATTTCTTGGAGCAAGGGAACAGACACAGGTGGGCTGTAACAGCTGCCCAGGTGAATCTAATGCACATTAAGACATTCAGAATCACTGATCCATGCTGTTCCATTAGTAGTATATACATGTGCAGCAGCCAAGTATCTCCACATTGCATCTTCTCCGTATGTAGATACTTGGTCACTTGTTCGGTAAGAAAAAACTTTCTAAAGGAAATTATTGATATTCCCTCAAAGGATAATAATCCAGTATGATTGCATAAGACATCCACATTAACTATACCCTCAAACAGTCAAGTGAGGAGGGCAGAGCAAATATTATATACTAAAATTAGAATCTGAATCTCAATGATTTGCTCAAGAGAAAAGGAAGAGTATCTACACTTTTCTCCTCTTTTGTTTTATGATTTAAAAAAATTGTTCTAAATTATCATTTTATCTCTATATTGAAACAGCATTTCAGATCTGGTTACTGTGAGCCATTCACTCATTTAACAACTACTCATTGAATAGTGACTGGTTTGTTGAGTGCCTACAATGTTCCAGCTGTTATTCTAAGGTAAATTGAGCTTTCCTTTTAACATTTACTCCACCCAAGCAACCTGTACCTTTTCTCACCCTCCTATCTTTCACCACCTTGACCTTCGTTAACCTACCCTGATTTACGCCAGTGCTTTAGATCAGCAAATAACACAAGTCTATTAACGACTGTTAACTTACGGTGTCCTGTCGTCTTCACGCTTTATTTCACGATTCTCATCTCTTTTCTTTCCCTCGCTAGATTTTAATCAGTGAGTTTGGGGCCTCTTGAAAACAGATTAAGGAATGCTAAGAATAATATCCTATTAACCATTGGAGGATTAACGCTTGAAAACTGAGGTCAATTTTGGTTTTTGTCTTTCCAGAGAAAGCAAAGTCTCTATATCTCAAATGTGCTGGAAACCACTTTTCCTCGAGGGTGAAGTGAACCATTAAACTCTCATTATCATTTTACAAAGTAGGAAACATTCCCCAGCAACAGGGGAATCTGTACTTAAATAATCTGATGTCCATAAATGAATAAGACTTACGATAAAGCATTTTCCTGAGACAACCATTAAAGACTCTTAAAATCAAAAGTCCTCATGATGAAGATGTAGGCAAAATAGGCAGACTGTTCTAATGATCTTTAGGGGCAGACCTAGTTTTCTTCTGTGGTATTATAACATTATTAAAAAGTTAATGAGATATCAGTCATCCTTAAAAACCTTTAATCCCAAGGATGTATATTACACAATTAAGGTCCTCATTAAAGAATCTAACATCATCCATAAACATTTGAATTTATATGGAAATGATAATGCCTTCTTTTTGTTTTTATGTGGTTTCCTTTAAAATTTGAAATGAGGGAGAATGTACGAAATCCATGATTTCTAAGTACATATCTAAAACCAACATTTCACAAACACTTTTAAACACAGACCTTCGACATATTCCACGTATATTTTGGGGAGATACTATATACTATTTTCTTCCCAAGCAAATGTTTATTATCATTTTAAAGATTCTAACATGACATACAATGAATTGGGTGACCATACTTCCATAGTTGCCTGGAACAATCTGATTAATGCTTCCCCTGGCATAATATCAATGGTGCTCCCTTTTTCTCTCTCTAAATTATCCCAGTTTGAACAATAAATCACGTGGTCACCCTCCCAATTTTAGTTTAGCATAATATCACCTAACATTTCCCAGCCTTACTTTTCTGTGGAAGCGTTTCTCCTGTAGCACTTACCAACTTCCCAGGGAAATACTATTTTACAGATTTCCTACTTAATACTTAATATCTGACATTAGTTTAAATTTACAAAAATTTATTCTTCTCCCTTTTTGGGTAGCAACTGTAAAAGTAACTTACAGGAAGCAGATGGGGTAGAAGAAAATGAAGACACATTGAGGCATGTGGGAAGAAGAATGCAGTGTACACTGTACCTTTTTCAGGTTGAGAACATTGTTAAATTGTAGCTGTGGAACAGTGAGTGGTGGAACCAGGCCTATCACAGGTTTCCCAACTCAGCTGAACCATAACAAATACACTGGGTGGAATACAGCTGCAACCTGTAGCCAGCAGGTTTCTTCATGTCCTCACCTTAATTACCCAAATGTATTTCCTCCCACTAGCTACAGCCTATTAGCCCCCTTAAAATATCATTCATCCATGTCGAAAAAAAAAAAAAAAAAGTACTGCTCAGTAGCCAGTAGTGAAGTTGTACTCATAGAAGCTTTGTGATTATCCAGGCTCCATTCAATTCCCACACTAGACTTGGTTGGTTTGGGGAAAGAAAACATCAGAATCAGAGTAATTCAACTGCTGTCCGTGGTATGGTTTTGTCTGTGGCAGTAGATATCCAAGGAAGTGTGGTTGTCCTGAGAAGTCAACAGCGGCAACAGTCTCTTTGGAGACAGGAACGAACATGAGACCAAGATATGTTCAAGGTGAGTATTCCATCTCTTTCTATATATCTTTTCCTATGGGGTGCAAGAGAGAGAGTTTCATAACCATTGTCACAGGACCTCACAGGGGGAACCGTTCAAACCCACATAGGTCAAAAACACACCAATAGCATTCAAATTCTTCAAATATTTTAGGTTTTTCCACCTGATTTACATTTAACAGCAAACTCAACACCAGAATAAATAATTACATTCTCCAAGTAAAAACCAATCATTAAATTGAAATAGACAAATATCTGCCAATAAAAAAAGCAATTGCTATCTCAAATAACTTGTTCATAACTACCAAGTTACCCAGTGTTTATTGGAAACCATTTTCTGGAGATTATTTCAATTTAAAAAGACTTTTAATATTGTCCCACACCGTTATTAAATATCTATATGCATTAATTTTCCTTGTAGCAATAGCTATCACACAAAGGTTTATGCATCTAGGTACCATTCTAAACACATTTCATGCATATACTCATTTAATCCTTCTAGCAATGATCTGAGATAGATAGAAATATTACCGACCCCATTTATAGATGAGGGAACAAAGATGCAGAGAAATTTACTAACCTGCCCATGGTTATCTGGCTAATAAGTAGCAGTTTGTCTTTTCCTCACCAACTGCCTCTTTCTCTTTATATTTTATAAAAATGTAGTATATTTTTATTTTAAAGCTTTTGAGGAAAAGTACTATTTCTTGTTTGTGTTTCTGTTTTCAATATCTTGTGCCCTTCTTTGGGTATTGCAATCAATCAAAAATGAATATGATAAATATTTCTATCAATAGTAATCTTGTTTTAGATAAATGAAAGACCAATATTCTATGAAGTGCCTTGGGCATAGTAAATGTTCAATAAATATTTGTTGATTCTTTCTGCTAAGGTATATGAAGACTATGCAAACATTTTCTAAAATAGCAATTATTATTATTCCCCAATTCTTTAGTTTGATAAAATTTAACAAAAATTAAACAATGTACTTCCTAAATGTAATTGCTTAACTACCAGTTCACAATATGAACACCAAAAATGTATTTTGGGCAGGTTTTTTACGCAATTTTTCTTTGCAAAAGATACAACATTGTGCTGTGTTGAATAGTGTCCCCCAAAATTTGTGTTCACCCAGACACTCAAAATATGATCTTATTTGGAAATAGGGTATCTGCAGATGTAATTAGTTAAGATGACATCATACTGGATTCAACTGGACCCTAAACCCAATGACTGCTGTGCTAATTAGAAGGCTCAGCTGGGTGCGGTGGCTCAAGCCTGTAATCCCAGCACTTTGGGAGGCTGAGGTGGGTGGATCACGAGGTCAGGAGTTCAAGACCAGTCTGGCAACATGGTGAAACCCCGTCCCTACTAAAAATACAAAAATTCACCAGGTGTGGTGGCGGATGCCTGTAATCCCAGCTACTCGGGAGGCTGAGGTAGAGAATTGCTTGAACCCAGGAGGTGGAGGTTGCAGTGAGCCAAGATCACGCTACTGCACTCCAGCTTGGTGACAGAGCGAGACTTCGTCTAAAAAAAAAGAAGGCTCTGTGCCAACACAGAGACACAGAGGCATCCAGAGAGAACACCACATGATAATAGAGACAGAGATTGAAGTGATTCAGCTGCAAGTCAAGGAACATTAAGTGTTGTCAGTAACTACCAGTGCCAGAAGAGAGGCATGGGACACATTCTCCCTTCAGTCCTCCAAACTGAATCAATCTTGCTCACACATTGATTTCAGGCTTCTAGTCCCCAGAACCGTAAGAGTATAAATTCTTATTGTTTTAAGCCACCAAGTTTGTGATAAGTTTCCCAGGCAGCCCTAGGAAACTAATGTAGACACTAATGTAAAATTCTAATATTCGCTCATTGTTAGATAGAAATTTGCTGATACTTCAATTGCCTAGACATCAGCAAGAAAAAATATCCTGTAAATATTATTCTTGATTTTTAAATATATATTTTTTAATTTATCTGAAATGATCACTTTTCAAAGCTGTATTTAAATATCTTCCTTAAGCTTTTAAATAAGCTTAATCTCTACCAGTTAATTATTATTGCTATATAGTGATAAGAAACTAGAGTTGTATTTTCTCTGTTAACATCTATTATGGTTTATTTTATTTCTACCTCATAGGTAATGTTTTAAGATTCTCATATTGTACAATTAATTTCATAGAGCCCTTGGTAAAGGACAATTCAAACCTACTCCCATGGTCTTTTCAAAGCAGGTAACCTTCCTTGCCTTCTTGGTTATTCATGAAGATAATACAATAGCTTTGGAAATAATTTCAAAAGCTACATCTGAACTATTCATTAATTAACTGTGAATAATAAATTTGTCAGATATTTTTAAGTTGATGAAAAAAATTACTAAAGTCAATTCTAATTATATTAAGCCGTTTTGTAATTATACAAAACGGCTTAATAATTTGTTTTATTTGCTCACAGCAACGCTTCCTTTTTTGTCACCTTGAGAATGTTTACTTTGAAACAAGGACAAAAAATATTACTCATATTTACATTTTGCTTTTAACGCGACTTGGCAACTGCATTAAATTCTGAAAATATAACTCAAAGATACTTTAAATAATGACAATGTTAATTGGAATCTAGAGCTATAAGTTATGTTTTAATTATAGCAATTTCTTGGTTTTCTAAGAAATACCACTTAAGAGGCTAAGGGTATTTCCAAGCAACAGGAAGAAATATGTGATTTTCAGTTGGTACAAAAGTAATATTTACCTTTGGAATTTTTTTCCAAATTTTGCATTTGGGACTTAAGTGTGTTTGAATCACTGGAAAAGCTTCTGGCTCTTTGGTATCACTTACAGATTTAAAGATACACCAGAACTGTATCCTTAGGGAAATAACAGAGAAAAAGAAATGAGAGAGGAGTGTGAGTTGAAGGTGCTGACTAGTTCTTTATTCTAGTCATAAAAATACAAATGACAGTTTATTAATTTTTCTTATGTAAGGTAAAGATATGATCATAGTTTCTAACCTGAAAAAAAATGTGCTTAAAGAGGCAGTATAAAATCTCATGATTCCTTTTCAAATGTCGGGCTGGGAAACATGTACAAGTAAATGTTGTAGTCCCTCTTAATTCATCGGTTCTGTATATGGATGATACTCAGCTCAGTTACTTCTTCATTAAAACTGATCATACGTTCATATCAGAGTCTCAGCTACACATCAAATTCATACTATACTATTCAGTTTCCATTAGTAATGCCTATGACATTCTTTAATGGCTATTGAACAGTCTATGCTAAATGAGAAAATTCTCTCTATCGTAGATATCATATAAAATCAGTAGTACTATCAAGCCATAGAATGTCTGCTTTTCTAAGATATCAAGAAACCTGAATTAGCATTAAGATTCCTCCCAGAAGTCAATCCCTGGCATAATGTAGACTTTGTCTTATTATCCTTATGACATCAAATATTTTAAAAATACATAATGTCATGAAACTATGCGATGTTTGCTGGTGGCTAGTTGATCCTCCACACTGAACTGTGGCTCACAGCATCTTGATGTCACCAGCCTGATAGTGCAAGGAGAATGAATGGTAGAGTGAGGAGGAAGGAAGCAAAGCCAAGCTTATCTATCCATAGGTAGCACACATCAATTCAAGAGCTGAGCACAGGCCACAGGGAAATACCAAAAGGATTAAAGTGCATATATTCCTCTGTTCTATGTGCATACAAACAGGCATTTATTAATTCAGCTGTTCTGTCCTCAAAAACCAGGAATATTTCCAGGTGTGGGGCTAAAAAAGGAAAAAGCAGAGGAGAAGGATGGGAATCAGAGTCTCCATTCTATTAACCTTGACTGTGCCCATATGCCTTCTTACAGCTCTGAGGAAATGGAAGCCAAGATGCTATAAAAAGGGAGGATAGCAGAAACTCCCAGGTGCTGTTAACACCCACTCCAAAGTAGGGATGCAGAATAAAGCTTCGAAAGCATTTGAATGGTATAGCCATGGGTCAAATTCCTATCTGTCTCCTTATGTCACAGCAGGGAGAAGCATAAATGCCTGGGTCTATTATTCCAGAGTAGAACCTGGTTCTATTGTCCAGTCAACTGTAATTGGCTCACCATCCCCTGATGATATATATTCATCATGATATCATGATCAGCACTCCACTGAAGCACAATAAAATAGGAAAGGCCTGCCTATGTTTCTTGAAACTTTTATTTTATTTATACAATATATACACATATATTCATACACACTGTTTCATGATACATTTATTTCTTCCTGTGGTCTCACTTAGAAATAAAACTAATTAAACTGCCAAACAGCTCTCCTATTGGGATTCTGCATTATTCTATAAAAGCCAGAGTTAATAGGTTTGAGAAACATTGTTTTGAGGGAGAGCAACTACACTAGTAGTTTTTTCTCTAAGAGCAGAGATGAATAAAACTACTGACTCATGCAATTTCCCATTGCCATACTCTAAAATTCCTCAGTGTGAATCTAATCTGTGAAAGACAGCTGTATCTCACTTTTATATATTTGTAATTATTAAAAAACTACTTCACCATAGACAATGTGGCGTGTCTACAAACAAGGGTATGGGCATGTGTGTGGTTAGTGGTTAGAGGATAGTCAACTTAGGAGGTTAATATTGGTGGTGCCTAATTATGAATACACATCCCAGCAATGGTTGACCAGCTCTTAATCTAGTACAGTGACTCAATCCTGGCTCTACATTAAGATCATCAGAGGGCTTTCAAAAATATTTTAGCAGTTATACTATTTTATTTTTAAATTATCATACAATAAAATCAATATTTTATTTGTTGTACAGTTTAATATTTTATTTTGTTGTACAGTATTCTTTTGTTGTATAGTATATTTTATTTCTTTTGTTGTACAGTTCAATGAATTTCAATACATGTATAGATTTGTATAACTACCCCCACAACCCAAACACCATTTTACTACCCCAAAAAATTCTCCTGTGTGTTCTATCCCTTCAGAGTCCCAATCTTCTCATAACTATTACCCCTATCAATCATAATTTGTTGAGAAGCTTTTAAAAAATATTAATGTCAAGCTCTGCTCTCAGAGCTTCTGATTTAATTAGACTGGGGTGAGGTCTGGAGGTCTTTTTTAAAAATGTAATACACAGCCAGGGTTGAGAAACTGGTGCTCTCATCGAAGTCCACATTCTGAAGGCTGCTACCATAAATGCTTCCACTATCTTTATCTCAATTCAGCATTAAGTGTTTCGTTGGCCAGCATTATGGATATTAAAGACTTCTTTTCATTGGGGAAATAGTGTTCAAAATATGTGAATGAGTTGTAGGAATTATGGTACAGGCACCTCTACCCTCTCACAAAGAGGTATGAGGATCTGATAACTCCAACACCCATTGCAGAAGAACATATGCCTCTTAAGGGAAGGCTTGGGCACAGGATGTAACTACAGGTTTAACAGAATTCTGCTCCTAAAATATTATAGGATTTGTCCTGAGCAAATCCTTCATGCCTCATGCCTGTCTAGAAAGCCTGAAAAGATTGGGAACTATAATTTCATTGGGCCTTAAGAAAAGTTTAGATGTCTGTTTCGACTTGCCTGTAAATATTTGCTTTGCAGATTTGGTCTGAGACTTGCTTTCATTGTAATTTGCCATCTGGTAGAGAAATGTTGAGGTGGGAAGCTTACTCTTTCCAACTCCTAACTTACAAAGCAGTAGTTCTCAATCTTGGCTGCACGTTAAAATCACCTAGGGAAATTTAAAAATCCTGATGCTCAGACTGCAACGCAGAGCAATTAATTCAGAGTCTCTGGGAATGGGATCCAGGCATCATTATTTTAAAACTCTCCAGGTTTGTAGCCAAGGTTGAAAGGTTACTAATATCTGCCAAAATATTATCTAATAATTTTGAACATATAAATTGGCTTAAATTTATTCAGCTCATTAAGCTGAATTCCATCTTCCTTCACCAACACATCTAAACCTGTCTTCCAGCAGAGCAGCTGGCTGGCTGCCCAGTAACACCATGCAGCTGCAGATCATCTTTACCCCTGACCTCTCCCTTTTGAGTCATAAACTCTGCCTAGAAGATATATCAGTTATCTATTGTTGTGTAACCAATTACTCCCAAACCTAAAAGAATAAACATTTATTTTCACATAGTTTGTGTGGGCCAGAAGTCTAGGATAACTCATCTAGGTGGTTCTGGCTCAGGGTTTCTAAAAGGGTTGCAGTCATGTTGCAGTCATCTGAAGGCTTGACTGGGGCTGGAGGATCTGCTCCATGCTCACTCGTGGCTGTTGGCAGGAAGCCTCAGCTCCTCACAGGCTGTTGGCCAAAGGCCTCAATTCCTTGCCACATGAATGAAGGTCACATTACAAGGCTGTTTGAATAGCCTTATAACATGGTAGCTGGCTTCCTTCAGAGTCAGTGATCCAAGAGAGATAACATGGAGGAAACTAAACTGGCTTTTATGACTGAATCTCTGAGTCATACATGGTCACTTTCCTTCAGTTTTATTTGTTTGAAGCCAGAAACTAAGTCTAGCCTATGCTCAAGGGAAAGGGAACTAGGCTCTATCTCTTGAAGGGAAGACTATCAAAGATTTTGTGAACCAATTTTAAAACCATTACAGAAGATAATTGACCAGGTTTTACAGAATATAAAATGTATTTTGACTCTCTTTATGAAATAGAGTCTAATTATACTAGGGTATATAAACTTAACAGGAATTAGATACCCACAGAACCCAAAACACTCAGAGCTAAGACCACAAATTTGAATTTAATGTATTAATACACAGCTATTGTAATTGGTATCCATACTTTAAATTTTGAAAGAAGAAAGGACACACCAGATCAAAAGATATCATCTCATCTCGTACAAGCCCATGTTCCAATGAACTAGTTCTTTAAAAGATATGTACTTTATGAGACATGCTATGTATGCGTTAATAACAGATAAACAGAAATGACACTGAATTTCAAGCTCCATTAGTAACATACAGGGAATGGGGAGAACAAGGTCAGCCAAGATGGTAAAGGACAAAAGGATTTCATTTCCAATTATTTAAAATAGTGTACAAATGTAGCAACAAAGATAATGTTGAGTGCTTGCCAATTTAAAATAGAAGGGATTATAACAAAGAACCAGAAAGCCTTAATAGCTGATGATCTCAAAATCTTCTATTGTGTGTAGAAATAACTGTTTTTACGACAAATATTTGGACCATGTAGACCAGGTGTTTACAGTCTGAGGACCAAACCTGACCTGCTTTCTGTTTATGTAAATAAAGTTTTATTGGCACACAGCCATGCTCATTCCTTTACCTATTGTTTCTGACTGCTTTCACAGTACAAAGGCAGAACCGAGTAATTTCAAAAAAGGCTCCACGGCCTGAAAAGACTAAGAGATTCACTGTCTGCCTTTTACAGAAGTTGTTTGCCAATTTTTGATGTAGACGAAACAATGGGGATACAAGAGTACTCATAACTTCATTAACGATAATCCTTAAGCTTTTATCACAGATCCTCTGGGCCTCAAAGACAGATCCAAGAAGAAAAAAGATTTTTTTTTTAAAAACCATGTCATTATTTATTAAAACTTACTACATTTGAGGCCAAAGGACTAAAAGTTAATCAAAATATTTCCTTTGTCACGCTAATATTGTTCTGCTTCATAAAATGTATAATGCTGAAGTAAGCCAGTTTTCTTTAGTTTGGTCAGTTTAAGATCCTCAAACTAGTTAAGATATAAAGGGGAGGGAGATTTTCTGGCAAATAAAATCATAGGAAGGCAGAACATGGGAATTTGAACACCATTTACTTTCTTTGTGCCTTTCTCTGACTCTCTCCTTTTCCTGCCTTCTCCTGTCTCCTCCTTCCCTCCATTCCTACTCCTTTTTATGTATTGGCATCATTCTTGTCTGCTGCAACTTGGTTTTCTCCACATGATGAGGACTATGACTCCTGCAATCTCCTGGTGTATGTGTTTCACGCCATCTCCAAAGCATCTAGACAGCATTTCTCTTATTCAGCCTCAGTGCAGAAATCTCAGACTGAGAAATTGAAGGGCTACTTTGGGACATGCTTGCTTTCCTCCATCAATCACTATGGTCTAGAAGATGGGGTCTAGAAGATGGGGTCTAGAAGATCAGGTTTTGGCCTACTCCTGTGGTTACAGGACCTGCTACAAACGAGGGGCAGAAGTGATAGTGTGGAGACAAAAGGCCAACCAGTGGATGAGCACATATCCTATTCCAATAACAACTGGCCCTCCTATCACAGTCACAAGACCCAAGGAACGTGTTACAGATATAGCATCTATTCCTCAGCTTAGGCAGGCCTCTTAGCAATCACAATTAATTATTAAATATATTCTAATCTGAAAACCTCTCTAGATTTCACAGATTCATTCACTGGTTTCTCAAGAAATTCTTTATTCTTTATGCTACAATTGATGCTTCAAAGAAGAGACATACAATGTTATTTCTTTCTTTGACTATCTCTTTCTTAGATCAAGTAATTCCAATATCTTGGTTCCTCCTCCAGAGCCTGTGGCTGAGACTTCATTCATTTTTCGACCCTCTTAGTACTTGTTATTGCAGAATTTAATATATACCTTCTTAATATATGAAACTCAGAATGTGACAATGGACAATGATCCAAACAATCCTTGATATATTTGAAATTAACAGTGGAATCAGACTGAGCTGGGAAGAATTCCTAGCTCTGCCATTTATTAATATGTGTCATATGGTCTTGAAATAATCAATATTTCCTTTTTACAGATGAGGACTCTAAGCTATCAATTTAAAAAATATTTATTGAAAATTTACTATATGCCAGTGCTTGGGATACAATAATGACAAGAGAAATATGGTCTCTACTTCCAGAATATACATGTCAAGGAGAGTATAGACAAATGTATAGACTGCTTCCATGCACTGTGATATGATATGGATAACATGGGTGCTATAGAACAGAAGGGTATGCATCCCAGACTCAGGAGTCAGAAGAGTGGGAGGTAGACTCTTCCCAGAGGAATTGGTATCTAAGATGAGACCCAAAGCAACCAGCCAGGCAAAAGAGAGAAGAGCAAATAAGGGTTGAACAGTGTTTCCGGGGAGGGTAGGTGGCAAATATACCATGATATAAGAGAACATGATGATTTAAAGGAACTGAATGTAATTCAGCTATGAGTCCAAAATCTTCAGGTGGCAAGTGACAGAAATGCAACTAGGTCAAATGAAACAGTAGATTTTATCAGATCATTAACTAACCTATAGAGAGACTTGGCTGGCATCAGGGATGGCAAGATATAGGGACTGGAAAAAATGCCACAACTCTCTCGTCATCTCTGCCTCTAACTTTTGCATATCTTTATAGGTAAAATTTGTTGTCTACTTTTATAGACTATTTTTTTTCCACACAACGAAGTAAATGAACACCAGAAGCACTGAATTCATGACATAGTAGTTTTACCATTGGGAGAGAAAACAGAGCTGCTCTCTTCTATTTGCCACAGCCTGCAAAAATGCCAATGATTGTGCAGCGTATGAGATTTTATCCACCTTACAACTAACAAGTTTGCCTGCTGCAGTTTCATGGATGTTGGCAGAAGGAACTACACTGCTGGGTCAGAGACAAAGGACTCCATTTCTAATGATCCAGCAGCAGTCGTGAGCTTCATGTTCACATCAGTTCCCCTTAGTCTCCAGGTGCCATGAGGTCCATGCAGAGCAGCCCAAGTGGATGTTGCACACACAGTGGGCATCTGTCATAGCTGAGGATCTCTGATCTTAGGAAACCCTCATCTTACAAAGAAGCTGCTGTCAAACCTGTCTAAACTTTTTCTCAAAGGAAGACATCATCTTTATTATTCAAGTCAAGAAACAAATCTGCCCTCCAACCCAGAAGGAGATACTATCTCTAGCTTCCAAGGCTTTTTGCTGTGCAGGTATCATTGAAAACACAGTCTAGGATAAAAACTGTCACAAGCTGCGTAGAAACTCCATGGAGGGATTGGCTTCCAACAAAAAATTCCAGGGAAGGAATCAAAATTGATGTATTTGAGGTCAAGTGCCTGTCCTCTATCAAGCACTTTGTCCAAGGAGATGGGATAGTATTACGAACACTGCAAAAGTCAATTTCCCATCCACACATGGGTTAAGGTCAGACACCAAGACATTAGGAGAGGAATGTGCTTGACAAAGATTAATCACATTTATTATGATTCAGTATTAGAAGGGATAAGATGGGGCCAGATCATAAAGAATTATGTAGGTTATGTTAATTAGTTTGGATTTTTTCCTATGAGCAATAGCAATTTGTTAAATTTTATAATGGGGTAGGTGTGGTATCCTTAGAAAAATCACACTGGTACAGATTTTAGGGATTGGCAGTAGAGAGTAAATGAAGAAATGAGTTAGAGAACAGTTATATTAGTCCATGTGAAAGGTAACAGGGGTCTGAACCAGAATAGTGAGTATGGAGAGAAGTGGGCAAATCTGAGGATATTTTTGGTAGCAGTCAAAAGGAGAGAAGACAGAATCAAGGACAAACAACATGTTTTTGTTTTGGGAAACGTCATGAGTTGAGACAGAAAGCCTAGAAAGAGAAGCAGGTTTTAACAAGGTAAATTCAGTTTTGAAACTTACATATTTTACATAGGATGGGACACAGAAAGCTAGGCTAAGGAAATGGATTCAAGACATTTGTATAACACATAGATGGGAAGAGGATTGAACAGAAAAAATACCTCTAGTACAAAACCTGAGGAACACTAATATTGAAAGAGCAGGCATAAGAAGAACCTGTAAAAAAAGATAATGTAGTCAGTATGCTAGGAAAAAACTAGGAGAAAACAGTAAAACAGAAACCACAGAAGGTGATTGAGAAATAGAATTAACTCACTCTTTTTAATGGCTGTGTAAGATGACATAGTATAGATGTACTACAATGTAATAGAACTAAAAACAAAACTAAGCATTAAAAGAAGTTAAATGTTAAGTGCTTTGGAAGACAAGGTT
Organism: Homo sapiens; assembly: GCF_000001405.40. NCBI lineage: Eukaryota > Metazoa > Chordata > Mammalia > Primates > Hominidae > Homo > Homo sapiens. The sequence goes on from NC_000003.12 coordinate 168,007,863, forward strand.
CTTCAGTTGTGAGAAGCGGATTCCATCAACCTTACAGGAATACTGTGGGGATTGAAGTGGATCCTATTCACATACTTCTTACACTATGAGGGCATTCAATACACGTCAAGTTTTCCTTTGTAAAATTAAGTCACTGGCACATGTGGCTAAGATTATGCTTTTACTCCTAGAACTCTTCCCAATCACTCTTGCAAATAACCAGTCATTGCATGTGTACTAGTTTTGTTGTGCCCCGTTATACTCATTGCCAATAAACGTGCCTTCCTCCCACAACCCCCACCCCCCACCCCGACTATACTCTTGGTACCAAATCCTTTGATTTATTGGTTGCACCAAAGTCACAGACTGGCAGAATAAATACTGGTGACATTTTATTTCTTGTCACCTCATTAACGTAGATCAGCTCAGGCTGATTAGTTCTCCTCTACACATTAGTTAGAATGGCTCTGTAACTTGGTGCTATACAGAGAGTAGAATGGTTTGTGATTGTTGCTTTCCTAAGGGGATTTAAAGTTTTTCATTTATTTTTTGTGTGTGCATGCACATGACACTCTCATACATTCTGCCCCATTTCTTTTTTCTTCCCTCAGAGCTAGCTCAAATAAAATAAACATCTTTAGCTCTTTCTTTAGAAAAAGAAGGGAAAATCACATGCCAATCCAAGTAGAGAAAGATACAGAAAACAGAAGCAGGTGGGAAAAGGCACTTTATAATTCATTAATTTATATTGGTATCTCTTAAAATTTTTCTTTTTATGAAAAAGAAGTGAAGAATGTTAGAAGGTCATAAACTAATAAGAGACCACATAGTTTAAAAGATTTGCCACTTTTTTTTTTTAGCTTTATTGACTATTACCAACTTTCAGTATGGTTCAAATAATTAAATACTGCAACTGGGACATTAAAAATACAAGCTAATTTACCAAAATAATTGTATTCTGAATATTATGTACAATATTATACATTTTACATTACATAATGGGTTTTTATACATAAAGGTAAGATTTCTGATTATTGGAAATACAAAGTACAACTGAACAAAACATTCCTATGCGTACATACACAATCACTCAACTGGAACAATCAAAACCATCTATGAGTGTGGTTATTAAAAAATAAAATTACGTTCATACAATGGTAGAAAATGAAATGTTTTTATTAATTTGATTATTAATACAAAACCACACATATATGAATTATATAACCTAGTGTTATATATTTAAAAATCTTTATGCTTGCAACTGAAATGTCTCTACTCCAAGGGAAGTTTCTGATTTTTAATTTTCTTATTTTAAGGAATCTATTATATTCACAATGATTAAAATGCCTTACACATAGGCAAAAAGCAGACCCAATCCCAGCAAACAGAAAAACCATAAGTCTATCATATCACCATATGTTTCACCATATAGTTTTGAAAAATAATCCTATTTGCAGTTTGGTATGTCTTCATATTTATACTTATTATCAAAGTGATTGCATATTGAGGCACAGAGCTTAAAGAGGAAATATATATTACTTATAGGGAACCAGACACTGAAACAAGAATATCAATCAATGGCTTCAAACAAAAAAAAAAAAAAAAAATTGAGAATGGGTGCTCGCATAGAAACACCACACGCAAACACTCATTAGTTTTTAACCAAGTCACTAGTCCTTCCAAAAGGTGAATATGTTGATGTGTCCATACCTTGTTTGAACACTGCAATACCTGATTAAGACCAGGATACTGCCACATGAGTTTTAATACTCTCTCATTTTTAAATTCAATTCCTCTTAAACAGAACAGCTATGATTTTAAAGCAATGACATTTTTCTAATTGATCTGAAAAGTCTGAAAAACAATGTCTTTACAACAAAAATGGATTTCCAATTGTATGTCACTTTGTACATAGATCTCACTCCAGAGATACATAGACTGGTGAAAATTCTATCAGAGCTATACATAAAGACATCAGAAGGGCAGCAATTAGTAAACAGGCCATTCTCTTTAAAGTCTGCATGGCATTTTGCAGTACTCTCTGTTCTTAAATCCTGTATTTTATCAAAGGCAAACAAAGAACACCTGGGAACTGGAAGCCAGAAAGGTAACACGCTGAAACATATACAAAATCAATGAGCTTTCCAACATCACATAATCTATTAAAAAAATTGGGACGTGGGGGCTCAGGTTTACTTTATTGTTTTTCTTCTTTTTCATGTTTAGCTTGAATATAAAAGAAGCTCTAGACCTACGTTATCAAAATATATTCATATAAATGTATGCGCATTTCTAATACAAAAGTTTTAAAAAAGTCTAAGTTCTTAATTTTTGTAATTAAATATCCTAGAGTTCAGTAGGCAGATTTATGTTTGAGCAGCTTGAAAAGAATCCGTTGGCTGAGCGTTGTCTAGAAATTGGGTGCCGCTACATTTCAGCTCTTCGATGTGATTTCTCAGCAACTGCAGCCCCGTCTTCTTCCTCCTCTTCTTCCTCCTCGTAGTGTTCCTCTCGGCCTTTGGGGCGGTTGTCATCTCGAACTTCTTGCTCTTCTCCATCATTATTTTTATCATCAGTCTTAAAATTAAAAGAAAAAAGAAAAACTAAGAGATAGTATAGAGTTAGTGATAAATAATTCTCTCTAAAAACAGGATGAAAAATTACTCATTTTTGGAGGAAAAAAAAGGAAGAAAAATGATATGTAAGCAACAGTGCTGCTGTCTCTCCTACTTTTCATGTTGTCACAACTTTTCCTAATTTCAGGTGGGCCTGTTAAATTCAGTGGTAACTCAGAGGTACCATTACCCACTGGTACGTATCCCAAATACATATATCTCTCCTATACACATGCACACCCACAAACACTCAAGTGCTCAATAGAAATATGTATCCCGGTCATACATTTTCATCATTTTCACCATAGGTCTCTTCAGCATTATGCTCCAGTTCCCTTTTTTTCTCTTCAGTCAAATCTTCCTGAACCTAAAACAAACCACAGATATCATTTAAACACTTTTGTCTTTCAAGCACTTGCGATAATATATTTTGACACTGTTATCATTTAAAGACTTGCAATAATATATTTTGATTTCCAAAAAGTTCACTCAAAATAGCAGAAGCAAAATTAAAGTAAATATACAATTGAAAAAATATGTCAAGGATTTATCTACTAGGTGTGAAGAAATGTATAAGGGAGGAGCCAAGATGGCCGAATAGGAACAGCTCCGGTCTACAGCTCCCAGTGTGAGCGACGCAGAAGACAGTGATTTCTGCATTTCCATCTGAGGTACCAGGTTCCTCTCACTAGGGAGTGCCAGACAGTGGGTGCAGGTCAGTGGGTGCGCGCACCATGCGCGAGCCAAAGCAGGGCGAGGCATTGTCTCACTTGGGAAGCTCAAAGGGTCGGGGAGTTCCCTTTCCGAGTCAAAGAAAGGGGTGACGGACGGCACCTGGAAAATCGCGTCACTCCCACCCAAATACTGCGCTTTTCCGACGGGATTAAAAAACGGCGCACCACGAGATTATATCCCGCACCTGGCTTGGAGGGTCCTACGCCCACAGAATCTCGCTGATTGCCAGCACAGCAGTCTGAGATCAAACTGCAAGGCGGCAGCAAGGCTGGGGGAGGGGCGCCCGCCATTGCCCAGGCTTGATTAGGTAAACAAAGCAGTGGGGAAGCTCCAACTGGGCGGAGCCCACCACAGCTCAAGGAGGCCTGCCTGCCTCTGTAGGCTCCACCTCTGGGGGCAGGGCACAGACAAACAAAAAGACAGCAGTAACCTCTGCAGACTTAAATGTCCCTGTCTGACAGCTTGGAAGAGAGCAGTGGTTCTCCCAGCACGCAGCTGGAGATCTGAGAACGGGCAGACTGCCTCCTCAAGTGGGTCCCTGACCCCTTACCCCTGAGCAGCCTAACTGGGAGGCACCCCCCAGCAGGAGCACACTGACACCTCACAAGGCAGGGTATTCCAACAGACCTGCAGCTGAGGGTCCTGTCTGTTAGAAGGAAAACTAACAAACAGAAAGGACATCCACACCAAAAACCCATCTGTACATCACCATCATCAAAGACCAAAAGCAGATAAAACCACAAAGATGGGGAAAAAACAGAACAGAAAAATTGGAAACTAAAAAGCAAAGCGCCTCTCCTCCTCCAAAGGAACACAGTTCCTCACCAGCAACAGAACAAAGCTGGATGGAGAATGACATTGACGAGCTGAGAGAAGGCTTCAGACGATCAAATTACTCTGAGCTACGGGAGGACATTCAAACCAAAGGCAAAGAAGTTGAAAACTTTGAAAAAAATTTAGAAGAATGTATAACTAGAATAACCAATACAGAGAAGTGCTTAAAGGAGCTGATGGAGCTGAAAACCAAGGCTCGAGAACTACATGAAGAATGCAGAAGCCTCAGGAGCCGATGCAATCAACTGTAAGAAAGGGTATCAGCGATGGAAGATGAAATGAATGAAATGAAGCGAGAAGAGAAGTTTAGAGAAAAAAGAATAAAAAGAAATGAGCAAAGCCTCCAACAAATATGGGACTATGTGAAAAGACCAAATCTACGTCTGAATGGTGTACCTGAAAGTGATGGGGAGAATGGAACCAAGTTGGAAAACACTCTGCAGGATATTATCCAGGAGAACTTCCCCAATCTAGCAAGGCAGGCCAACGTTCAGATTCAGGAAATACAGAGAACGCCACAAAGATACTCCTCGAGAAGACCAACTCCAAGACACATAATTGTCAGATTCACCAAAGTTGAAATGAAGGAAAAAATGTTAAGGGCAGCCAGAGAGAAAGGTCGGGTTACCCTCAAAGGGAAGCCCATCAGACTAACAGCGGATCTCTCGGCAGAAACTCTACAAGCCAGAAGAGAGTGGGGGCCAATATTCAACATTCTTAAAGACAAAAATTTTCAACCCAGAATTTCATATCCAGCCAAACTAAGCTTCATAAGCGAAGGAGAAATAAAATCCTTTACAGACAAGCAAATGCTGAGAGATTTTGTCACCACCAGGCCTGCCCTACAAGAGCTCCTAAAGGAAGCGCTAAACATGGAAAGGAACAACCGGAACCAGCCACTGCAAAATCATGCCAAATTGTAAAGACCATCAAGACTAGGAAGAAACTGCATCAACTAACGAGCAAAATAACCAGCTAACATCATAATGACAGGATGAAATTCACACATAACAATATTAACTTTAAATGTAAATGGACTAAATGCTCCAATTAAAAGACACAGACTGGCAAATTGGATGAAGAGTCAAGACCCATCAGTGTGCTGTATTCAGGAAACCCATCTCACGTGCAGAGACACACATAGGCTCAAAATAAAAGGATGGAGGAAGATCTACCAAGCAAATGGAAAACAAAAAAAGGCAGGGGTTGCAATCCGAGTCTCTGATAAAACAGACTTTAAACCAACAAAGATCAAAAGAGACAAAGAAGGCCATTACATAATGGTCAAGGGATCAATTCAACAAGAAGAGCTAACTATCCTAAATATATATGCACCCAATACAGGAGCACCAAGATTCATAAAGCAAATCCTGAGTGACCTACAAAGAGACTTAGACTCCCACGCATTAATAATGGGAGACTTTAACACCCCACTGTCAACATTAGACAGATCAACGAGACAGAAAGTCAACAAGGATACCCAGGAATTGAACTCAGCTCTGCACCAAGCGAACCTAATAGACATCTACAGAACTCTCCACCCCAAATCAACAGAATATACATTTTTTTCAGCACCACACCACACCTATTCCAAAATTGACCACATACTGGGAAGTAAAGCTCTCCTCAGCAAATGTAAAAGAACAGAAATTATAACAAACTTCTCTCAGACCACAGTGCAATCAAACTAGAACTCAGGATTAAGAATCTCACTCAAAACCGCTCAACTACATGGAAACTGAACAACCTGCTCCTGAATGACTACTGGGTACATAACGAAATGAAGGCAGAAATAAAGATGTTCTTTCAAACCAACGAGAACAAAGACACAACATACCAGAATCTCTGGGACGCATTCAAAGCAGTGTGTAGAGGGAAATTTATAGCACTGAATGCCCACAAGAGAAAGCAGGAAAGATCCAAAATTGACACCCTAACATCACAATTAAAAGAACTAGAAAAGCAAGAGCAAACACATTCAAAAGCTAGCAGAAGGCAAGAAATAACTAAAATCAGAGCAGAACTGAAGGAAAAAGAGACACAAAAAACCCTTCAAAAAATTAATGAATCCAGGAGCTGGTTTTTTGAAAGGATCAACAAAATTGATAGACCGCTAGCAAGACTAATAAAGAAAAAAAGAGAGAAGAATCTAATAGATGCAATAAAAAATGATAAAGGGGATATCACCACCGATCCCACAGAAATACAAACTACCATCAGAGAATACTACAAACACCTCTACACAAATATACTAGAAAATCTAGAAGAAATGGATAAATTCCTCGACACATACACTCTCCCAAGACTAAACCAGGAAGAAGTTGAATCTCTGAATAGACCAATAACAGGAGCTGAAATTGTGGCAATAATCAATAGCTTACCAACCAAAAAGAGTCCAGGACCAGATGGATTCACAGCCGAATTCTACCAGAGGTACAAGGAGGAACTGGTACCATTCCTTCTGAAACTATTCCAATCAATAGAAAAAGAGGGAATCCTCCCTAACTCATTTTATGAGGCCAGCATCATTCTGATACAAAGCCAGGCAGAGACACAACAAAAAAAAAGAATTTTAGACCAATATCCTTGATGAACATTGATGCAAAAATCCTCAATAAAATACTGGCAAAACGAATACAGCAGCACATCAAAAAGCTTATCCACCATGATCAAGTGGGCTTCATCCCTGGGATGCAAGGCTGGTTCAATATACGCAAATCAATAAATGTAATCCAGCATATAAACAGAGCCAAAGACAAAAACCACATGATTATCTCAATAGATGCAGAAAAAGCCTTTGACAAAATTCAACAACCCTTCATACTAAAAACTCTCAATAAATTAGGTATTGATGGGACGTATTTCAAAATAATAAGAGCTATCTATGACAAACCCACAGCCAATATCATACTGAATGGGCAAAAACTGGAAGCATTCCCTCTGAAAACTGGCACAAGACAGGGATGCCCTCTCTCACCACTCCTATTCAACATAGTGTTGGAAGTTCTGGCCAGGGCAATTAGGCAGGAGAAGGAAATAAAGGCTATTCAATTAGGAAAAGAGGAAGTCAAATTGTCCCTGTTTGCAGACGACATGATTGTATATCTAGAAAACCCCACTGTCTCAGCCCAAAATCTCCTTAAGCTGATAAGCAACTTCAGCAAAGTCTCAGGATACAAAATCAATGTACAAAAATCACAAGCATTCTTACACACCAGCAACAGACAAACAGAGAGCCAAATCATGAGTGAACTCCCATTCACAATTGCTTCAAAGAGAATAAAATACCCAGGAATCCAACTTACAAGGGATGTGAAGGACCTCTTCAAGGAGAACTACAAACCACTGCTCAAGAAAATAAAAGAGGATACAAACAAATGGAAGAACATTCCATGCTCATGGGTAGGAAGAATCAATATCATGAAAATGGCCATACTGCCCAAGGTAATTTATAGATTCAATGCCATCCCCATCAAGCTACCAATGCCTTTCTTCACAGAATTGGAAAAAACTACTTTAAAGTTCATATGGAACCAAAAAAGAGCCCGCATCGCCAAGTCAATCCTAAGCCAAAAGAACAAAGCCGGAGGCATCACACTACCTGACTTCAAACTATACTACAAGGCTACAGTAACCAAAACAGCATGGTACTGGTACCAAAAGAGAGATATAGATCAATGGAACAGAACAGAGCCCTCAGAAATAACGTCGCATATCTACAACTATCTGATCTTTGACAAACCTGAGAAAAACAAGCAATGGGGAAAGGATTCCCTATTTAATAAATGGTGCTGGGAAAACTGGCTAGCCATATGTAGAAAGCTGAAACTGGATCACTTCCTTACACCTTATACAAAAATCAAGTCAAGATGGATTAAAGACTTAAACGTTAGACCTAAAACCATAAAAACCCTGGAAGAAAACCTAGGCATTACCATTCAGGACATAGGCATGGGCAAGGACTTCATGTCTAAAACACCAAAAGCAATGGCAACAAAAGACAAAATTGACAAATGGGATCTAATTAAACTAAAGAGCTTCTGCACAGCAAAACAAACTACCATCAGAGTGAACAGGAAACCTACAAAATGGGAGAAAATTTTCACAACCTACTCATCTGACAAATGGCTAATATCCAGAATCTACAATGAACTCAAACAAATTTACAAGAAAAAAACAAACAACCCCATCAAAAAGTGGGCGAAGGACATGAACAGACACTTCTCAAAAGAAGACATTTATGCAGACAAAAAACACATGAAAAAATGCTCATCATCACTGGCCATCAGAGAAATGCAAATCAAAACCACAATGAGATACCATCTCACACCAGTTAGAATGGCAATCATTAAAAAGTCAGGAAACAACAGGTGCTGGAGAGGATGTGGAGAAATAGGAACGCTTTTACACTGTTGGTGGGACTGTAAACTAGTTCAACCATTGTGGAAGTCAGTGTGGCGATTCCTCAGGGATCTAGAACTGGAAATACCATTTGACCCAGCCATCCCCTTACTGGGTATATACCCAAAGGATTATAAATCATGCTGCTATAAAGACACATGCACATGTATGTTTATTGTGGCATTATTCACAATAGCAAAGACTTGGAACCAACCCAAATGTCCAACAATGATAGACTGGATTAAGAAAATGTGGCACATATACACCATGGAATACTATGCAGCCATAAAAAAGTATGAGTTCATGTCCTTTGTAGGGACATGGATGAAATTGGAAAACATCATTCTCAGTAAACTATCGCAAGAACAAAAAACCAAACACCGCATATTCTCACTCATAGGTGGGAATTGAACAATGAGATCACATGGACACAGGAAGGGGAATATTACACTCTGGGGACTGTGGTGGGGTGGAGGGAGGGGCGAGGGATAGCATTGGGAAATATACCTAATGCTAGATGACGAGTTAGTGGGTGCAGTGCACCAGCATGGCACATGTATACATATGTAACTAACCTGCACAATGTGCACATGTACCCTAAAACTTAAAGTATAATAATAATAAAAAAAAGAAATGTATAATACACCTATTACAAAAATCAATGTGATTGATCCTGAATGTAGGACTTTTCTGTTTGAATTTCTGGTTTATCTGAATAATGGTTAAAATTCCAAATATAAAACATCTGAAGACATTTAGCTTGTAAAATCAAAAATTCTGGCCAGGCGTGGTGGCTCACACCTGTAATCCCAGCACTTTGTGGGACTGAGGCAAGAGGATCACTTGAGCCCAGGAATTTGAGTCCTGGGAAACAAAGTGAGACCCTGTCTCTACAAAAAAGAAAAATTTATAAAATTAGCTGGGCCTAGTGGTGCACGCCTGTAGTCTCAGCTACTCGGGAGGCTGAGGCAGAGGATCGATTGAGCTCTGGAGGTCAAAGTTGCAGTAAGCTATGTTTGTGTCACTGCACAACAGCCTCGATGACTCAGCAAGACCCTGTCTCCCCAAAAATAAAATAATAAAATTAAAATTCCCATTTCTGTATATGGGAGAACTGTAGAAATTTGAGAGCTGTGACACAATGTAAGTTCTATGGAGGCAGGAACTGCCTGTCTTATTCAAGTCACTATCTAGATCAAGCTTGTCCAACCTGTGGCCTCTGTAAATCCTCTGTAAAGGCACAAAGGATAGACACCGCTGCCTACATACAATATAGTAGAAATTTTATGTATCTATTCTATACTTAAGAATATATTTCTCTGGCTAAGATATCTAGAAAATAAAATACAATCATTTCAATTTCTTTATGAAATAGTCTATTGAACTGCCTCAAAAATTCCTCTCTCTCTTTAGTGTTCTAATACAACCTTTCTGTTTTAAGTAGTTTTCATTCATGTGCACTATTATTACTGTGTAAATGATCCCAATATTTATCTCAAAATGTAAACTAAAGCAAGCATCCAAATATTTGTGCTAAATAGTCTCTATTTAATGATCATATCTCACAGAAATACAGGGTAGGGCATTTTCTAACTTGTTAACTATTTTGAAAACCATACATATGCCAAAATGTTTAAGTCACTTGAATGCATTTCAAAAAAACTGCTGAACATCGGTTAAGTATAATGCAGTCTCCTAATACCAAAGAAAGTCCGATCTTTTCTAGGATCAGAGAATAAGATCCTTGAATAACACAAAAATCACTTATTTTGGTGGGGGGAGTGGAGGAGACTGTGGAAAAATCTAAGAAATGAACAACGGAAGAAAAGTATACAGATGCTATAATTCAGAAGAAACAAATTACGTGCTGCCTGAAGGTGTACAGCCCAGGTGAGACAAGAATGAACTGCAGCCTCACAGAAGAGCTTTGGACAAAACTTGGCCTGTCGAGAGCCTACAAAGGTGACTCTTCAAAGATACCCTGGGCAGAGCCAAACCATTGTGAACCTCTTCTAACCAGTCCAACGCCAGTTTGACCCACAGCCTCTAAACTAACCTCAAAATAAATACATTTTGAGGACAAAGGCATCGAATATCTATTGTATTCATATTTCCTGGTGGAATGAGCTAAAGACCTATCTTGTCTCACCTTATGGTTCTATCAGTGGTCCATAACATCTCCTCTGCCCATAGTCGTAGAACCTCATAGTGACATTCCACAGGACATTGGGATGAAAACAATGAAGTACTTACTTCAGGCCTATCTTAAGGTCTGACTAATTGAAACGTCATTAAATTGCTGAAGTGTCCCTGTCAATTTTGATTAACAAAGACATGTCTTTTACAGCCTTAATAATGAAAATATATTATTTATAAACATTAAAATGTTGTAGTTGAGACTGGGGGAAAAAACAGCCTTGAGTCTATGCCGTATGGCAGGAAGAATATCTAAATCAGAGATCAGCAAACTTTTTGTGTGAAGGGCCAGATAGCAAATACTTAGGCTTTCTTAGCCATAAGGTCTCTCACAATACAACTTGACCACTCTATGTAGCACAAAAAAAAAAAAAGAAAACAAAAAACTATAGACAATACGTAAACAAGCAGACATGTTTGTGTTCCAATAAAACTTTACTTATGAACCAGGCTGCAGCCTGTAGTTTGCCAACTCCTAACATATACTATGGAGTCAGAAAGACCTGGACTAAAGACTTGGCTCTGCAACTTTTCTGACTGTATAAATCATAAGGTCAATTGTTTTTGTTATGAAAATCTTTAAGCACATGCAAACGAAGAAAATCATTCAATAAACCCCTTAGAGCCACCTCCAATGTTCAAAAGCTATTTCAATATTGCCACACCTGCATCATCTATCACTTTTCTATTTTTTACAGTGAATTATTCTTAAAAATTCAAGATATGTAATTTTACCTTCACGTATCACAGTATATATATCTAAAAACAATAAACAACTTATATAATCATACTGTGATTATCACACCTGATAAAATAATTCCATAGTAGCATCTGATGTCTCATCCATACTTACATTTTTATCATTGTCCTAATGCCTGTTTACAGTTGGTATATTCTAATCATGATTTAAAGGAAAAGAACACATAACATGGGATTCACTCCCCTTTTTTCCCTACTGCTATGGATTTGCAGTACTGTAAAATGACCCACATTCTGAATTTATTTGCTTCTTTATATCACTTAACTCATTTCTCTAGTCTCAACATTTCCTATAAATGGAAGTTAGCATAAAAGTTTGAATGAACTCAGGTTCGATTTTAAAAATAAGGGTATTTCAGAGGTGATGGTGTATATTTCACACATATTTTTTAAATCACATCAGGAGGCACACACATTTATTTGTCCCACTTTTAGTAAGGCTAAGGTTGGCCAGTGAGCTCAGGTGGTGACAGCCTGATCCCTTCATGGTAAAGTTCCCTGACCTCTGTTCATCTAGTAACATCATTCATTGATGACTGTTGCTTAGATCAATTGCTTCAATTAGGGGTTACAAAAAAAAATGGTCACTTTGTATTTCCATTGTTCTGTCTATATTCACTAATTTCTATAAAGAACTTCCCCACATCAACTATATAGTTACTGTGCATGGTACACTTAATTACGGTAGCCTTTAAAATCAGACCTAGGTGAGCTCTAATCATGTTTCTAACAATAAATAAAAGCTATGCAACCTTCCAATTTTTAACTAATCCCTCTGAAGCCCAAATTTCTTGTATGTAAAATAATAGCATTGGGTGAAAAATCAATGATCCTTAATTTCCTGTATGTATGTGTGGTTGGGGAGTCATGGACCCTTTTAAGACTTTGGTTAGAAAGTCTTTAGCAAATGGGCATATATACACAGATAGGAGTTTCAGACTTCCCAGATGCCATCCACAACTGTCTGCCCTAGGACTATTTCTCTAAACAGTATGATCCTGAGCCGTCAGAATCAGCTGGTGGTGGGCGGGTGAAGGGGCACTTATGAAGAACTCTGCTTCCTAGGTTCCATAACAGATAAGATCAAAATCTCAAGGGTAAGGGTCTGGTCCAGAAATCTGTGTATGCCACAAACTCTTCAAGGTGATCCTTATTCACAGCAAAGACAAAGAACTATTTCCTTGAGTAATGGATGCTAGGTTATCTCATTAGTCTCTGGAGATGGGCTATAGAAAATTTAGCTTGTTTACCAGTTGTCAATATAATCTTATTTAGAGACCACTGATTTCAACGACTCTTTAGGGAACCCACAAATGAAAATTTTGTAATTTTCCACACATATAGAGAACAAACTCTTAGTTAAATACACATTATTATTCTAGTAATATATTACTGATATTTGGGGCAAAAGCAATGCAAACTCATCTGAAAGGCAGTAATGCCTTTAAGTAATGCTTCTCAGTAATGTAAAGGAACAAAATGATATGGAGGTTCTAACTGATCTTTAAAATATGACTAGAATAATAAGCAGAAGCCAAATGATATTCTTTTATAATGTAGACATACAGATTATGTCTCCCACAACTGGCCCTCTTAGCAACCTGCTAAAGCTGTCACAATGCTTTGTCAGATTTCCCAAACAATGCTTCTTGTTACTCATTTTTATCTACTGAAATATGTTCTAGGCATTTTAGAAATGAGCCTTATCTGATGACACAAAGTTTAATAAACGGCCAAATCCAAAATAAAACAGGTCCACTGAGAAGAGTCTGAAATGGGCTTTGGCTAGATATCCTCTCTTGGTGTCTATTAACACCTTTCTTTTACACATTGAAGATATTATGGGTGTGCCAGGGCAGAGAGCTGAGCCTCAAGTAGGTAAGAACAGTAGGATCCAAAGAGATAGATAGAATGTGATGAACAAAAGGCCTTCAGCAACATTAGCTATAGTGACGAACACCCTGCTTTAACAAGAGAGTTTCTTCCAATCGAAAAGCTTCTTGGCCAGGCATGGTGGCTCACACCTGTAATCCCAGCACTTTGGGAGGCAGAGGTGGGAGGATCACCTGAGGTCAGGAGTTCAAGACTAGCCTGGCCAGCATGGTGAAATCCCATCTCTACTAAAAATACAAAAATTAGCCGGGTATGGTGGCAGAAGTCTGTAATGCCAGCTACTCGGGAGGCTGAGGCAGGAGAATTGCTTGAACCCGGAAGGCGGAGGTTGCAGTGAGCCGAGATCACCTCATTGCACTCCAGCCTGGGTGACAGTCAGACTCTGTCTCAAAAAACAAAAAACAAAAAACAAAAAAAAAAGAAAAGCTTCTTGACACGGTGATTCACAGGCTGGTAGTCTCATGTAGGTGTACGTACATATTTGGCCAGTGAAGGTGAACAAATGCCTTGTACTTATTCTCTTCTGCATGTTCAGATTAATCAGTTTTCAGTTACACTGAGGGAAATTAAAGTATTCTGATTTCTTGGTCATTTAATCTATATATTTTTGAACATGTAAGTAATTTTAAAGCTTACACGGCACTTTTTGGCAATGCCATAAATTGTCTTGTTTGCTTACAAGGCGATAAAACGTTTGGAATGTAAGCAACGTAAGGAAGGGATCATGCCTTCCATTCAAACAATCCCAAACAAGAAACAAGAAATGCTTGTAAGTCTTAGAAAGATAACACTACTGCACTAAGATAAAAGAAGGCAGAGTAGTATAAATTTCCTAAAATCATACTTCTTTTGGGTCCTCTTAGAGGCCAAGTCTGTAAGTTTGATGGGCTATACCTCTGAACAGGTGTGGCCCAGGCAAGAGGCAATTCTTCCCCAGGAGGAAATGCTGACAGAAATAAGTTTGTGCGCTGGAGAGGAAGGGAAGCGATGGCAGCCACAGGCCTTGCATTCTAGTGGTTAGCTGGGGCAGCTGCAAGACTCTAAGGTTAAATGGAGATTAAAAAAAAAAAAACAACAACAACAATAATGCACAGTTCCACAACATTTCATGGTTTTTCAGAGTGCTTCCACCAATGAGGTTTCATACACATATGCACTTATAAACAATGCAGTATGTGTTTCCATATTCTATGTTCCCCTTTATTTTTCTCATTTTGCCATAGTCTGACAAGAACTTTGTCTCTATCACTAGTGCTTAAATGGTATTTGGGAACCACTCTTCTCCTCTCTCAAGGGAAGACCTGGGAACGATGGACAGAGGTGGGAAGATGCAAACATTAATCATCTCATAACCACACACAAAAATACAACACAACATGAACAAGGGACACTCGGGGGCAGAGAGGAAAGTTTACACTGGGAAGAAAAAAAGGCACGTGGGACTTCCACTAAGAGCACATGGAGCAACAGTTCTCAGTGATGGGGTGGTAACCTGGAGCACATGCTGGAGGAGGCCTGAACACTGCTTTAAGAATTTTTGGCAGGGAACCAGGTAAACCGAATTAGGACCTGGGGCCAGGTGCAGCAAGAGGAAGAGTCCTGTCAGTCCAGCAGATCTGAAGGGGATGACTGGTGGGATGAGGAGCAGTTGCTGAGTTTAGGCAGCACTCAGCCAGGGCAACCTCCTCTGTCTTAGCACCATTTCTCCTTTCCTCTTGCCTCTTTCTTCTCTTTCTACTCTTGATTCCTCTTGGATCTCAGGATTTCTCTCCTGTACCTTAACTGATCATAATATAAAATTGAAAAGGAATCAGTAAACACTGGTTAAAATTTTATGTTTAATCTTCTGAATTTTTAAAAAAGAAGCCAAGGTGAACTTTTCTCTTTTAATCCCTCAAAGATTCCTAGTATTGGACATAATAAAACAAAGTGGTATTAGTCTAGACATCCTGTTATATGAGAAGCCTGGATGAATATCTTTTTCTTGCCCAATGTCTTAATATTCAAGGTCACTATTTTCTCTGCTGCTCTCTTTCTGACAAGACAGCCAAGGGTCTTGATTAGGATGAGAAACCAAAGAACAAAAAGATCAAGCCAGTTAAAGTGCATGTTATTAGAAATGTTGCCAGTGACCTTAAAGAGCAACATCCTTTTCTGTTTTCCTGGTATAAGCACAAATTTTATCATCAGCTCTGAAAAGCTTACAAAATCAGTAAGAACAAGAAAGCAGACCTAGTCGAGGGAACTGTGTGTGTGAGAGCACAGCTCATGATTTCTGCACAGGATCTCCAGTGATGGGGTGTGTCTGTTCAGTCTGCCATATGTCCATCCTCCCATGGGGTTCCCCATAGGGATAAAACCACACATTTGCAAGACACCTGGCTGAGAAGCAGCTCTGAACCAGGGTTTTAATTTGGGAACTACTTACTGGTCCATAATGAGACTAAATACAGGGTCTTGGCCTAATTTGTATCAGACTCTTAAATATTGCAGTTGTTTATGCAGCGGAATGCTGTGATAAAACGGCTACAACAAGCAGCATTCACCAATTACACCACATGCAGCACCACAATAATCAACTACACCGTAAGCAGCACCACAATAAACGCTACTTATATCTAATTAACAACAAGATGCCCGAAGTTTACAATGAAAAGCAAACTAAAATATTAAGAAACTCTATCCAAATGCATTTTATTCAGCTGAGCTCTTTACATCTTTTTCCTCCTCTTTTATTGTTAAATTTAATTAAGATACTGAATTCTTAAGAAGGAAGAGGCCAGAAGGAGAGACTGTAAAATTTACAAAAATGTTTGGAGGGTGTTAAGTGGATTCCGATAGACACTATGGGGTATTCCTGTGAGGTAGGCACTGGGGAGATGCCTGAAGAGAAAGTTACAGGGGCAGTCCAGATTCCCTCAATGTGCAGAGGGAGAGAGGAGAAAATATTCTTACAAAAGATTGCACAAATCTAAGTCCACCATTCCTGGAAAGCCAAATGCCTTCTTAATTCAAAATTTCAGGTGAGAACCAAAGAGATGGATTCTATTACCCTGCTTTTGTTATCTTCTAACCAAATGTCTCCAGTGCCATGATCCATTTTTGCTTTAAACCACCCTTTCTTATCCTGCTTAAATTTTTCTGAACATTTCTGTGGAAGGCATGTCAAAGTCAATACTGCTGAGGTTTGTTTAAGGTTAGTGTGTGTGACAGACCAATCTGATCAGTCTCTGGGATTCAATCCTTACTACCTCCTCTTCTGCCTCTTCCTGGTACTGTTCATCAACATTGTCCTCCTGCTGGTCTGGATTTCCTGCCATCTGTTGGAAACAAAAGGGCAGGTTCATGTTACTGTACATCAGAGATGCCTTTTACACAGTACTCTGGGACAAAGAACAAGCATGCCACCATGAAAAGGGCACTTTCAAAGCGTCTGTGGCCAGGAAATGATGAGTAATCATTCCCAATACAAAGCCCAGGATGTCCGTTACCCTCTCTCTCAGAGTACAGGCATATCATGTCATAAAGTGGCCTAAAAACCACCGAAGTGGCAAACCTTCCGTCAATGTGGAATATGACTAACCTTTTACATAAACCAGATGTTTCTTAAAATAGCCCAGTTAAATCCACCCTTCCTCGTGGCATCTGCTTACCACCAAATGTTCCTCCACTTCTGTATTCTCTTGCTTTTGATTACTTTGTTTTTGCTCTTCATTTTCATCTGGCAAATTTTCTTCTCTCACTTGCTCGGCTTCTTCAAATTCATCCTCACCTTGATTATTAGGGTCATCTGCTGGGTTTATATCTTCTACAGCTGCCCTCTGTAAAATTTTAATAAAAAGCAACTATCACTTCAAAACTGAGGATCAAGTTTAATTTCATTTGAAAAGGCTGCCCACTGGCAGAAAATGAAATTGTCCTTCCCTCAATTGTTCAGATCTATCCTTGCCAAGACTCACAAGAATCAAGCATCACACTGTCAAAAGAGAAAACTCCTGCTTTACTTGTCAGAGGCTTGATGAATCAGAATGAGGTTCAAATAGCACTTCTTTCCTGCAAGTGATTTCAAAATAGTTCTCAAAACTCTACTGACACAAGTAATGTGAACAGAACTGAATAAACAAGAAAATAATTAATAAAAGTCAGAGGACCAAGTGACAAAAAAAATACTAATTTAGGTGGGGGATTTAGATGGGCAATTAACTCTTTTTGCTATGTTGATTTTTATAGTAACTTCCCTGTGCAAGCAATTTTTAACATGTCAGCAGGTGAAAAGTTGTTGATGGGAAAGAAGGCCCATACCAGAAAGGACCCATAAAAAGGATACGAAAAGGAGACAAGAAAAAGGCTAATTCAAAAGGAAATGGTCATTTTCTAGTATGGATCCAATTTCTTTATTAACAATCATTCCCATGAAACAGAGAGATGCTGAACTGGCGAGGGATGGGAGTTAAAAAGGGCTGAGCTACCCAACTGCCCAATAGGGCAATATATTATGAAAAATGTCCTCCCAACTCATCTCCCAAATTACTGTGCTCAACAAAGGCCCTTCATATTATCAACTTTAGAATTATTTCAATTTTCCACTTAAGCTCCCAAAGCACCTTCCAAATAATACACATCCTAATAAAGATTTAGATTTTAGAGCCTGAGATGGAGAGGAACAGTGATGCTTGTCATGAGCTTCCCCAATCACTCGCAGGTCATCAATAGGACACTTACTAAGCTGTAAATGCTTCTAAGAGACAGTAAAGCCACAGAGTAGGATTTGGTCTCTATCAGTATTCTCCAGACAAGATTCTACTTCAATTCACTTAGGAGTCTTGAACATGTTTGAGAGTTCACTGCCATCTCAGCTGATCTATTATCTGCACATCCCTGGCCATGAATGTTACTCCAGTGCAAATGACACTATTCTTGGGAACGTAGAGACTACCAAATTACCACCTTCACACTAAACTCTAATTACTCCACAATCTCTTGTCATATGGATTTTCTTTAGTGCACTATCAAAAATTTGTATGGAATTACAGGAAAAATGTAACATATTCTTTTCAGAAAAAAGTACCAAATATCTTTTGCAAACGTTCATAAAATTGACTAGCTCAACTCCGACCACGTAACAGGTATGAATTAGCAGGCACAGTTGTTACGTTCAAATAAAACAGAAAGAGAGGAACAAGTGGGATTAACCATTTCTAATTAAAAGGAAGAATGGTACAAAGGCCAATGTTTCCCAGCATGTTCCCCAAAACAAACAAACAGATGACAGGAAAGTAAAGGATCATATAGTCAAGAAATCAAAGCCTACAGCAGTTCCCAAACAAGTGACTGAAATGCCCTTCCTCCCACCCCATGCACATTTGCAGGCCTTTGTACACTTGCTTTCTTGCTCTCTCCTGGATAGTCTCTTGCTCTCTCATATGTTTCTGCTCTCAAGTATTAGCCTTTTCCTGAAAATATTTCAGGACTAGGTTCCCTGGAGCATATTTTCAGAAATCTTGATGCAAGGAATGCCAGGGAAAGGTGTTCTGCCACATCTCAGTGCAAGTTAAGTGGAAAAGCTGTTTCCAGCAAAAGGGCTTTAAGTAGCTAGCAGGATGACTTTCTTGATGATTAGCAAGGACATGGGTCCTCCTTTTAATCAGGGCTCATGTGACATAGCACAGACCGACTGTTATAAACATGGTAGTTGATCTATTAGCAAGAGATGACAGGGCAGCTAAAATAAGCTGTAAAAATCATCTACGCATACACGCAGGAACAGACTCACTAAACATTTGCTTGCTTCACTTGTAGGCAGGGCCAAGGATCTAGCCCACCCAGCTGAACTAGAGGTCTCAGTCTTTTTTGGTAAACACAAACAACAATGCTGGTTATTAGATGTCTACCTACTTATATTATAAATTTTCTGTACCATTGCATACCTGAACAACTCTTCATGTCTCAGACCACATATCCTTATCCATATATTTATTAAAATGGTCACTAGACTGCTAAGAGATTACAGAGAGTCACACAAATACCTAACACTCTAGCAGACTGCTCAACATGCTCAGGAAGGGTTAGTTTCCTTTCTCTGGTCCCATCTCCAACTTCCACACTTGCCTTTTATTCCTCCTAGCTTTCAGAGTTACTACATATTTCAGTGTCTCTCAGTTTTGCTTTTCTAGGTTTTAGTTTTATTAATCTAAAAGTCATCAGAAAAAAAAAATCCTGGTTTTGTTTTTTTTTTTCCCCCAGAGCAACTTTTAAACCAGCTCATCACATACACGTACACCATGGTTTACAGTTAAAAACACTGCCCATATATAATTATGCAAGCCATTTTCCTTCTGGGCTGAGGATATAACAGAAATATCTGGGGCTGAAGGCTGGCATCAGGCAAGTTTTCAACTCTCTTTCCCACCTTATGAGTTTACATGTGTCAGGGGCAGAAGAGAGGATACTTACATCTGCCTCAGATTCTGGGTCGGCTTCTCGGGGTCCTTGTTCACGAGGCTCATGTCTATTACCTGGATCTCCTTCTGCTTCATCTTGGTGCTGGTTGTCTCTTTCATAGGCTAGCAAATCAAAGGAACTAAAATCAGCCCAAAATGAATCAAACAGGATTTCCCTTTCAACTCAAAGAAAAGCCACCAGTGGACTTTTCTACAGACTACAATACCTCCACCTCTGTTAACTCAACATAAGGCCTATGTCCTGGCTTTTCTGAATAAGGTTATGTTCTCTTCACAGACTGTGTGTCTAGAGAGATGATATGGGTCAGACACTTTTCTTCTAAAATAAATATTTTTCACAGGAGCTGTAATTTTTCCCCCATATGCAAGAAAACAACAACAATCAAAACTCTCTCAATAAAAGAAAGCCCAGTTGATTGGACACTGCTGAAGAAATCAACTAATGTTTGATAATATCAGAGGAAGTAGCTGGGCTCCAAAAGAAGAAATTGATAGTTTCAGGAAATGCAAGGAAGAACTGCCCCATCTGTGGAGCTCAGAAACAAATATAGCCCATCACATGTTTTCTGATGTCATCACAGTAATGATGATGACCGCCACAGCCCAGAAACAGCACACATTCATACTCAGACATTTACTTGCTGCTTTTTGAAAAAATATTTAGATAAAGAGAATTGTATGAGCACAAAAAGAGAAGAACAAATCACTTTTTAAAACAAGTAAGATAGAAGAGGAAAGTTTAAGTATATGGAGTGTACTAAGCCTAGAGAAAATGATGATACGGGGTAACTTACCATCAGCCTTCAAGTGCACAAAGGGGTTTACTACATAGAGAAGAGGACAAGCCATTCTCTAGTCTTACTGATATGAGAACAAAAAAGCTTAAAGTGCCACATGGCGGACATAAGGAAAACAATTTCTTGACTGTAAGAGCTGTAAGATATCACAACGGGCTATTGAGGGAGGTTGTATGTAATCACTTTCTTTCTGACTTTTTAGAAAAAGATACACATCTAAGTGTTAGTGGTGCCAGAGAGACAGTAAGTTACATTCTGGTTCTATTATAACAGTAAGCAATATTTGATAAATTACATATTAAGTGCTTATCATAAATGAAAGCTACTATTGACTTAATTTGAAAACATTTTAAGGCAATGATGTGAGGACTTCCAAGGTAAGGAGAAAATGCAGATGTTTCCCAAAGCATAATAATCCTATAATAATTTGTCAGAAATATTATAAATATTTAGTATATAAAAAGCTTAAACTACAGGGAAAATGATAGAGAGGAAACAGATTATCTTGAGCATTTTTCACTACCAGCATGTACTGTTTAAGAGGATTAAGAAAAAGACATGATTCACAAACCTCCTTTGCACTTAGGTATGCATACAGCTCATTGATGTTATATAATATTGGCTCACTGATAATATACAATGTTATCAAGTAATTTATTAAAACATTCATCATCTAGGAAGTCTCACCACCTCCTTCCTCTCCTTGGATTCCCTGGTCCTCTGCTCCCTGAACGATATCATTATCCATAGCATCATAATGAGCTTGCTGCCTACAAGAGACACAAACATGATAAATCCAGTGGGACAAAATTCAGAGGCACAGTTTGACATAGGTCATTTATCTTTAAAGACAGTAATAAGTAATGTTTCTCAACATTTTTAAGAAGCCATGAAAAATTTTTAAAAACCTCTTATGTATGCAATTAGGTATAATAAAAATTCCAGATACACTTTCAAAAGGTATCTTAAAAAGATAAAATATCTTTTAAAGATAAAATAAAATAAAGTTGGCACAAAGCCTGCAAGGCTATTTGGAGACCTAACCTACCACTTTTGAGCAGAAAAAAAATATTATTTTTAAAATTAAATATTTGGTATTTAATTTTCAAGTAGCTGTCCTGCCTTGGCTATTTGAGCAATATGAGCCCCTTAACTTCATGAATCACAAATGCACAAAACTGTTTTTAATTTGCGTATGAAAACTGGAGCAGGGGCTGTCTTCGTTCATTAAGGAAGGGGAAGGCTACCGGAGCTGCTCCTGGTGCTGCGGCCGGCCCTCCTCAAGCTCAGCCTGCCTCTGCAGGGCCATCTCTCTTGCCACCTGCTGCTGCTGCTGTTCCTGCTGCCGTAGTAAGTGCCCCTGCAGCCTCTGCTGGTGCAAAGCTTCCTGGTGTTCCCGCAGCTGCTGGGCCTCCTCCACCTGCTGCACTGCCAGTCTCTGCTGTTCCAACTGTTCCTCATAGGGTGATTGGAATTTGATCATTGGCTTGGCTGAAGGGTACACCTAGGGTGAAAAAGAGTTGGTGCAGAGCAAGAGGGGTTAGCTCCTCTGGGTTTTCTCTTCATTTGTTTCTCCTGACAAACTCAGGAGGCAGAGCTGGTTTATTAACGACTATTTGTCAGGTGAACTGTGATTATACATGAAGTCCAAAAACTCCTATTTCCCAACTTTCTCTGAATCACCCTTGGCTTTTTTAGCAGCTGATATTTCCAACTACTGCTATTAAGGCAGATTTTCAATGTGCTCCCTTCTCAAATGGAACAGAAGGGACAACCGAAGATAACAGTTTCAAACTGTAAAATTTATGTTCACAAGGCTCTGATATAAACAAGTAGTTGGTAACTTTGGTAACTTCACATTAACTGGGCAATCTGTGACCTTATGCTACGCCTAAGGCTTTTTCCATGAACAGTTAAAGACCGAGGGATGCTAATTAACTCTAGTAATGTATATACCAATCCCAGGCTAAGCATAGCCAAAAAAAAAAAAAAAAAAAGCCACATTCCAGGTAATAGTGGAAAAGCAGATATTCAATTTTTTTTCAAAGAAACTAAGAATGGCTGAGAAGATGGTGCCTTCTGATTAAAGGGAAATCTGATACAGCAATTCTTAAAACTCTGCTTCCCTGAGATATTATCTCACCCCAGTTATAATGGCTTTTATCAAAAAGGCAACAACAAACGCTAGTGAGGATGTGGAGAAAGGGGAACCCTCGTACGCTGTTGGTGAGAATGTAAATTAGTATAGCCAATATGAAAAACAGTATGGAGGTTCCTCAAAAAGCTAAAAATAGAACCACCATATGATCCAGCTATCCTATTACTGGGCACATATCCAAAAGAAAGGAAATTGCTATATTGAAGAGATACTTGCACTCTCAGGTTTATTGCAGCATTACTCACAATGGCTAAAACATGAAATCAACCTAAGCATCCATCAACGGATGAATGGATAAAGAAAATGTGGTACATATACACAGTCATAAAAAAGAATGAAATCTTGTCATACGCAGTGACATGGATGGAACTGGAGGCCATTATGTTAAGTGAAAAACTTCAAGCACAGAAAGACATACATTGCATATTCTCATTCATGTAGGAGCTTAAAAAAGCGATATTGATAAGATAGAGTGGATTGGTGGTTACTAGAAGCTGGGAAGGGGGATGAAGAGAGACTGATGAATGGTACAAACATATAGTTAGAGAGAAGGAATAAGACCTAATGTTTGGTAGTTCAGTAGGGTGACTACGATTAACAATAATCTATCTTATATTTCAAAACAGCTAGAAGAATTTGAATGCTCCCAAAATAAAAAAGAGATAAATGTTTGATGTGATGGGTTATCTAGGTTTGATGTGATGGGTTATCTAGATTTGATCATTATACATTATATGAATGTTTCAAAATATCGCCCATACTCTGAAAATATATACATATATTATGCATCAATAAAAAGTGTCTGTACCCCATTGAGCTACTACCCATCCTCCCTGCCATACCCCAACTAACAAAAGCACACACAATTCTCACTTAAGGAAAGAGGTAGAGGGTTGGGAAGTAAAGCTGGTGGGGAATTACTTCCCCTATTGGGGAAGGACACAAGACTGGAAGAAGCTTTCTGAGGTTAAGTTTGCAACTACCTAAGAGGGCAACTACAGAGGTCTTCACACCTGCTTAGCCTAAAGCCTCAAGCGGCTTGAAGTCTCAGAAAATCTGAGGCCGAATAAAACTTCAGAGTTATAAATAGAAGGTGATCCACACCCATGTAAAGGCCAGGTAACCTACTATTGAGACTCAGTTTAGAGACAGTAAAAGAAAGGCATCTAGCTGCACTAACTGTTGGTTTAAAAGAAGAAAGGGTAGAGTTTTCTTTTAAAGCATCATTTATAATAATCCTGGCCATTTTTTTTTAAGAAAGGGAAAAGTCTTACGTGTAAGTGGCGTGTCCAGTAAGGGATCCTGAGCAGAGGCTGTTTAGATATGCTCACCTAGTAGAATATCTCCAAGTAGTAAAATCAGATTTTTGATAATTAAATAACCACCTTGAAGGTGAATACAAAAGGCAACATACTGACAATAAATGAACAGGGAGAGGAGGACGCCTGATCATAGAAAATGAGATTTTTCTCTGCCTCAAGATGCTCAAGACAAAACTTGGGTACAAGCTGGGAAGGTGCCCCATCAGGTACTCACCTGTTCTACTCTATTAAGGTGATGTGAGAATGAATCTCTGACTGTGTACAACTGACAAAAAGAAGAATGCACACATACAACAGCTGTGCTCTCTCATCACCAATCATCTTTCTGAGGTATGCGAATAGCTATGCTATTAACATTACAAGAGAAAACTTAAATATGAGCATATAATGTTTAGTAGAATCACTCACATTTCTATTTTAGAGATTGTGATATATTACCTTAATATGTAAAAATAAAGCCAGGTTTTCCATCCCAGTACACCATACCAGAAGCGGGTGACTTCATACCTCAGCACGCGCGTGCCCTTCCAGGAGGTTGGCTGCTTCTCGTTGCTCATGCTGCTCTTTCCACTCCCGATCCTGCTCCTCTGGTGATGGATCGTGTTCCTCCTCAAGATGTTCTGCTTGCCCGACCTGCTCCATTTCTTCCTCCTCCAGGGCCTTTCTGTGCTCCTCTTCCACCTGATGCTCCTCAGGTTCTCTGCGTTCCACTTCTTGTTGGATTGGCTCTGGGGGAGCCTGAAATTCTGCCTCCTTATGGGTGGGAGCATAGAGTTTTGTGTCTTCTGCTCTTCCAGGAACTGCTTCATGGTTCTGCCACACATCATTATTTCGAGACACCTAGGCCAAGCACATCACTGGGAATGACACTCTTCCAATTTCAAAAGTAATGATGTAATTTCTTGATTTCCATGTCTATGGGGCATGGGGCTACAACAGAAGAAGGTGTCTAGAAATATATATAGTCCTGGCTTTATGGCTGCAATGGAGTCACTTAAGTTTCTTACTGTGTAATCTCACTTATAAAATAGACATAATATAAGCAAAACTTCATCTGTGAAGAATACAGTAAATAACCTGGAAAATAAAACCTCCAAGTAACCAATATCTCAGAAGTACTCTAATTCCTATTTTCCCTTAGAATAAAAAGGAACAAAACCTCAAACTTCAAGTGATGAAATGTTTACATAATTTTCTTCAATGTAAATTTTGTTTTCAGTAATTATTTGAAAAGAGAAGGATGAAATAAAATTGAGGAGTTGGGTTTAGTTTTTACTAGTTTGGTTTACTAATTTAAAAAAGAATGCCATTGGCCGGGCGCGGTGGCTCACGCCTGTAATCCCAGCACTTTGGGAGGTCGAGGCGGGTGGATCACGAGGTCAGGAGATCGAGACCATCCTGGCTAACACAGTGAAACCCCGTCTCTACTAAAAAAACACAAAAAATTAGCCGGGCGTGGTGGCGGGCGCCTGTAGTCCCAGCTACGCGGGAGGCTGAGGCAGGAGAATGGCGTGAACCCGGGAGGCGGAGCTTGCAGTGAGCCGAGATTGCGCCACTGCACTCCAGCCTGGGCGACAGAGCAAGACTCCGTCTCAAAAAAAAAAAAAAAAAAAAAAAAAAAAAAAAAAAGAATGCCATTACTAATGAACATCCATGTTAGTTCAACACAGTGCCTGTTAAACAAGATACAATAAAATATTTTTAATGTATTAAAGTAGTAATTATTTGTAAACCAGCAGGACTCTTTTGTAAACATTTTTTATTGCTAATATTGAAAACCCTGAGCAGAAAAAGAAGAAATGGCTTTTTCAGAATAACCCTCCTCTAAAATTAGTTGACTCAAATCAGTTCTCCCTATAAGTTTCAGCGATCTCTATATGATCTGCACTACCTAGAAAGTGAGGAAGAAAGAGAATATAGTATATCAACAGAAACAAACGTCACTCTTTTTTTCTCTTTAACCTTCAGAAAAAAAAATCTTCTTTGGTTAGACTGCTCTCCCAAAATTGAAATAAATGTGAAATCCTATTCTTAAATTAGCAGAGATATAATTATCAAATCTGAGAAATTGGACTGTATTAATAAACTGGGGAGAAAAGTCCTTTCTCAGACATTTGAGGACAACTGGAGTTGCACATTCCACCGACATCCTCACATATCTGGCAAGTTTGACATAATACTGCCCTGGCTTTACAGAAAAATATTTCTCTAAAGAGCTCTAAGTACTTTCAAACACTTGTCATTTATCTTCACAATATCCTAGTGAGGAAGGTTAGTGCAGATAACTCCTATCTCCACCTCAGAGATGGAAAAACTGAAGATCTGAGTCACTGGAAGATTAATCCAGTAAACTGGCAGTCTGACAAGGGCAGAAAATAGAACCAACTGCCAGGCCAGTGATCTGGTCATGCTCTCTTTAGTTATTAACATAAGAGCCTGAGAAAGAATAAGAGTCCATGAAGATACTGAACCTGTCTGTTGAAGGAATACCCTGAACAGAGTGAAGAGGCTCATATATGAAGTCTACTCATATCAACTTAATTATTCCCATAACTTGGAGGAAAGTTTTCTCAGTCTTCTCTTTAATGTTAAAAACCACTTTGTGAGCAAAGGACATGAACACACACATCAAAAGAAGACACTGATATGGTTTGGCTGTGTCCCCACCAAAATCTCATCTTGAATTCCCACGTGTTGTGGGAAGAACCCGGTTAGAGGTAACTCAATCATGGGGTCAAGTCTTTCCCGTGCTGCTCTCACAATAGTGAACAAGTTTCACAAGATCTGATCGTTTTAAAAAGAGGAGTTACCCTGCACAAGCTCTCTCTCTCTGCCTGCTGCCATCCATGGAAGATGGGACTTGCTCCTCCTGGCCTTCCACCATGATTGTGAGGCTTCCCCAGCCATGTGGAATTGTAAGTCCAATTAAACTTCTTTCTTTTTTAAATCAACCAGTCTAGGGTATGTCTTTATGAGCAGCATGAAAACGGACTAACACAAACATATATGTGGCCAACAATCATACAAAAAAAAAAAAAAAACAACTCAGCATCACTGATCATTAGAGAAATGCAAATCAAAACCACAATGAGATATTATCTCACACCAGTCAGAAGAGCTATTATTAAAAAGTCAAAAATAACAGATTCTGGCGAGGTTGTGAAGAAAAAGGAATGGTTATACACTGTTGGTGGGAGTGCAGATTAGTTCAACCATCATGAAAGACAGTGTGGAGACTGCTCCAAGACCTAAAGATATAAATACCATTTGACTCAGCAAAATCCCATTACTGGGTATATGCCCAGAGGAATAGAAATCATTCCATTATAAAGACACATTCACTGCAACACTATTCACAATAGCAAAGACATGGAATCAACCTAAATGCCCACCAATTATAGACTTTGATAAAGAAAAATGTGATACATAAACACCATGGAATACTATGCAGTCATAAAAAAAGAACAAGATCATGTCCTTTGCAGGGGCATGGATGGAGCTGGGGGCCATCATCTGTAGCAAACCAACACAGGAACAGAAAGTCAAATACTACATGTTCTCACTTATAAGTGGGAGCTAAATGATGAGACACATAAGCACATAGAGGGGAACAACACACTGTACGGCCTATCAGAAGGTGGAGGGAGAGGAGCAGGAATATAGCTAATGGGTACTAGGCTAAATAGCTGGGTGATAAGATAATCTTTACAACAAACTCCCATGACACAGTTTACCTACGTAACAAACTTGCTCATGTACCCCTGAACTTAAAAGTTTAAAACAACCACTTTGTCAGAAAGATAACCATATTGCCTATTTTTTTATTACAGATGATTGGAAAAAAAAAAAACAACCTTTGTAGAAATTAGTGGTAATGGTAACTACTTCTGATGTCTCACTTATGAGATATTCTTAAGGCTTAATTTTTATAAAGAACAAGAATATAAAAAGGTGTATTATTTGACTAGCACTCATACCCGTAGGAGTGTCAAACAGGTCATTTAATTCAAATTTTGACATGCTCTGTGTAGACCTAGCACTGCTCCAAGTTAAAATATATTATTAACTTTAATATTTGAGTGGGTTGACTGTCACATAAAATCCTCATGATCATTTAACGTTCTCACCCTAACCCCCGCAAAATCCCCAACCTTGAAAAACTCAGATACTACAACTCCTTGAAGACAAATAAACCTACATGAATAAAGACAAAGCCATTAAAGCCTTTCTCAGACATACTAGCAGCGGCCAGGTGTGGTGGCTCACGCCTATAATCCCAGCACTTTGGGAAGCCAAGGCGGGCGGATCACCTGAGGTCAGGAGTTCAAGACCAGCCTGGCCAACATAGCGAAACCCTGTCTCTACTGAAAATACAAAAATTAGCCAGGCGTGGTGGCGGGCGCCTATAATCCCAGCTACTCGGGAGGCTGAGGCAGGGAGAATTGCTTGAACCCGGGAAGCGGAGGTTGCAGTGAGCTAAGATTGTGCCACTGCACTCCAGCCTGGACGACGTAGCATGACACTGTCTCAGAGAAAAAAAGAAAGAAAATACTAGCAGCAGTTCTCAAAGTTTGCTACTCAGACCAGCTAAATCAGTTAGAAATGCAAATCTTTAGGCCTCACTCCAAATTAACTAAATCAGAAACTCTGGGCCTGGGACCCAGTAATCTGTGTTTTATCACGCCCTACTGGCAATTCTGATATACTAAAATTTGAGAACTACTGCTCTCCCAGAAAAGTTGGCAATATTAAAAGCAGGTCCCCTCTTGGCAACTTGACAGAGAAAGTGACCTAACCATAGATTACCAGTTCACGCCCCTTACCTCCTGCACCTCTCGGGTTGGCTTCTCCCTTGCTGTGTTGTAACCTTGTGGAGAATGTGCCACCTGGGTCACATTTTGCTGTTCTGCTGGATCAGGTTTTCGAAGGCTTGGAATCCTATTCAGAGTATCTTTCAGTTGTTTATATTCTGCAACTTGAGTCTGCATATAAATTGCACAATTTGAGGAGGGAATCTATGAATGCCCATTCATAGATGGGCATTTGGGTACACTGTAAAACTAGACAAAAATATTGTACCTAAATACAAGTTAGAAAAACATACAGATTGTTTCCATGCATTCACTATTCTTACTTGGGCATGCTTAATCATTTTTGAGCGCATGCAAATTAGAAACAGAGCTGAAGGAAACAGAAAAAATATCTAAGACAGATGTTAGTTTCCCATACTACACTGAAGTCAGAACTTTTGTAAATAACTTACTAATATAAATATCACTATTAAAAGACCGTTCTGTGATGTTTTATCATATTAAAAAATCCATTAAAAACTCATATAATTATAAAAATACAAGTGCAAATACCTTTTACCAATATGATCTGAATAAAATCTTTCAGTAGAAAGGAGTCATAGGTTTAAAATAAATTTTAAATACACATACACACACACACACACACACAAACACACACACATATAAATACTCAGGCTACCATTTTCCCCCTCAGTTAATTTGTGCTCAAATAGAATCCCTAATTGGCTAGAATGTTTCCTACACTGTGCTCTGTGGTTTCTGGAAAACAGTGGCACAGCTGTGATATAGACTGGATTTTTTTATCCTTGATTGTGAATGATCTTTTCTTCTAAAGTGACAAAGGTACTAACACAGGTACAGGACTAGAATCTGCTCATACAGCTGCACCTGTGTGTACATGGGGTGGGATGTGTGGATGTCTGTGTAATATTTTTAATACAAGGAGCTAGAAAATTAGAAAAAAATCAATTACTTTAATTAACAAAATCAAGAGGCATTGTGTATACTTTGCTCATTCTATACACCAACACTGTTATCCTGAAAACAGAAATGTTGTGTGTGTAAACAGACATATAAACACATGCAGAGAACACAGAAGTCTTTTTCTCAACAAGCTTCCCAGACAGGGCCAGCTCCGCAGTGTGTGGGGCGCAGCAGGTGAGTGGAGCCAGAACCCACCAGCATTCCTGCTGCCATAGCTATGCACCATGGCACACTGCTCTTCCACCCCAAGAGTGAGGTGCTTTTTTTGCTTCTTTCTAGTGTACACTAGGGTAATGAAGTTTGCTTGCTAAATAATTCCCAGGGCACTGCCTTTTAATAATTTTGTACAAAGGTGCACCATATGACTAGCAATGGCCTTTATCTGAGAAATCTAAATATTTGCAAACCAACTTTGGAGGTAAAAAATAAATGACATACACATAGCAATGCTTTTAATATTTTAAGATAAATATGGAGCAATACACAAAACTCAATTCTACTCCTTCTTTCTCCTAGACACATAATCTTTGAAGGCAGT
The DNA here is from genome assembly GCF_000001405.40 of Homo sapiens. Classification (NCBI taxonomy): domain Eukaryota; kingdom Metazoa; phylum Chordata; class Mammalia; order Primates; family Hominidae; genus Homo; species Homo sapiens. Next base: position 168,038,346 of record NC_000003.12, read on the forward strand.
AATTGTGTGTTGCACAATTAGGGACCATATTAAAAATGTAGGCTCCTGGTCCCCTACTCTTGAAATTATAATTCAACAGGTCTAGGACAAGGCCCAGGTACCTGTGATGCAGGAAGTCTCAAAAAATATCACTTAAGAGTTAAGCGTGATTTCAAAGTCAGGATAACCTGAGCTTCAACCTTGGTTCTGGTCATTGATTTTGGGCCAGCTACTTTACTTCCCTTTTCATCTCAGTTTATTTAGTTATAAAAGGGTACAATATTATATAACTCACAAGGTTGTGAGGATTAAATAAAATACTCAACTACATTTAAAAATCAGGTTGTCAAGGCAGAATCTCCTAAGATGATTTACATGAGAAATGCAGGTGCCTGAAACAGCATTTTTTTTAAAAGGAGATTTGGGGAAAGTCTTAATACAGTATTACAGACTGAATGTTTGTGTCCTCTCAAAATTCATATGTTAAAATCCTAACCTCCAATGTGATGGATCAGGAGGCAGGGCCTTTGGGAGGTAATTAGGTCGTAAGGGTGAAGCCCTACAGAATGGGATTAGTGCCCTTGCAAAGGGATCCAGGAGAGCTTTCTTGGTCTCTTTCTGCTATGTGAAGATACAAGGAGAATTCAACAGTCTGCAACCTGGAAGAAGAGGGCCCTTACCAGAATCTGACCATGCTGGCACCCTGATCTAGGACTTCCAGTCTCCAGAACTGTGAGAAATACATTTCCATAGTTTATAAGACACCCAGTCTAGGGTGTTTTGTTATAGCAGCCCAAAGTAACTAACACATATGGCTCTAATTAAGGATTGCACCTAGTTCTGACACTTTTTTTTAAGGCAGGACAAACCTTGAGCATCCTCGCCAAAAAAGATATTTCAATAAATAGAAAATTATAACTATATATTAAGAAAAAAAAAATTTTTTTTTTTTTTTTGAGATGGAGTCTTGCTCTGTCACCCAGGCTGGAGTGCAGTGGTGCAATCTCGGCTCACTGCAGCCTCCGCCCCGCTGGGTTCCAGTGACTCTCCTGCCTCAGCCTCCTGGGTAGCTGGGATTACAGGTGCACACCACCACGCCTGGCTAATTTTTGTATTTTTAGTAGAGAAGGGGTTTCACCATGTTGGCCAGGCTGGTCTCAAACTCCTGACCTCAGGTGATCCACCCGCCTCGGCCTCCCAAAGTGCTGGGATTACAGGCATGAGCCACGGTGCCCGGCCAAAATTTTTTTTTCTATTATAAAACCCTGTGAGTAATACTGTCAGAGTTCTACTCCAGAATTTGGTTTTGGTCATCAAATAAATGATTTTACTTATCTTTCTATGGATTTTCAAATTGTTGCTCAGTCTTACATTTATGGCCGTTACAGCACACAGAGCACTCAAATCAGTTTGTCACATTTATAGTATGAAGAACAGCCTCATATAAAATAATACTTGACAAAAATTTTTATAAAGAAGACGTGAAATGAAATGATCCCTGACGTCAATTTCATTTATACACATGTAAAAAATCACTACACAGCTACAGCTTAGGAGGAGACACCTAATCAATGACTGTTTAGAAAAGGAATCTCACAAACACAGATGCTACAGCCTCTGAGATGGGTCAGGGACAGAAAATTATACCTTTTAATAATTTTATAAAGAAAAGAAAACCAACATGGGTTTCCTGATGAGCATAGATCGTTTACCTTTGTTCTTTTATCATAATTCCTCCAGTAAGAATAAAAGTGAAGATCTAGTTTACAACAGCAACTAAACTAGCCATTCCTGTTTCCTTCCTTCTGCTAGAAATCTGCATAACACTTAGCATGAAATCGCTTTAATAAGCTCTCCAACACTTGTATTTGTTCCCCTGTTCATTCAGTAAATATATACTGAGGGCCTGCCTTGTGCCAGGAGCTGTTCTAGGTTTGAACAAATGGAGCTTATGACTCTTGTTTTTCCTTCTCTGTTGACTCTTCTACTTTTCTGTAATTTGACCAACAACACATAAGCCTCGTTCCAAAAGGAGGGTGTGTAGGCTGGAATTCTGGGAGCAAGGCAGACACAGAAGAAAAAGTCTGACAATAGTTTTAGGTAGCTAGCAGCATAAAATCCTACAGATACTACACCAAGAGTCAACACAGATCAGATAGTTGCAAAAGACTATATATGTGAGATCATTTCTGTGATTTAAACAAGTATTAGACTACTGCATGTAGGGACGAGAGTGGAAAGAAATGATCATTTATGTACCGCACAACCAGTGCAAAAAATAATCAAAAGTTTAATATCTTACTGATTGAATTTTGAAAGCATGCATGATCCTCAGGATTAGGATAGCTCTGTCCTAAGGAACTCACTGAAGATTGGCTTGTAAGAGACTACATGCATAAAGGAATTGAGAAATGTTAAGCAGACTTGTAAAAGAACCCACAGAGGCTGCTACCCTTCTAACCTGTGCAGCAGCTAGTGCACTCTTGTGGTCTTCCAAAGTCACTACAAGTTGTTCATGCTCGGAGAGTAAATTCTTATGCTGTTGCTACACAAAAAAGAATTTTACATGTTGAGCTTTAACATTCTACGACAAATTCTTCTTTGGCTGATCGTGATATGGCTACCCAAATGTTACTTGCTTGTTTATTTGTTGTTGTAGCAGCATGTGTTAAGTTTAAAAATCATCGTAGAGAGAACACTACGCTTTATGTAGTATTCCAAAATCTAAAACGTGCTACCCAAATATCATAATCATTTATTTACAATGAAATCAAAACCAAAGAAACAAATTTCTCATTATTAGTAAACTTTTATAAATAAAAAGCTTATTAATATGTAACTAGCATGAGAATAATTTCAGTACTAATGAGAATATTCAGATTTTCAGACCATCTTTTAGCTTACAATGCTGAAGTGGTAAAAATATTAGGTACACTCTAGTTAATGCAAAGCCCACAATAACAACGTGGATTTGTAAAGCAGGCCAATTAGGGAATGACTTTTTAAAGTCATTCTACCAAATAAAGCAGGCAAACACTAAATAGTGAAACGTTTGGTTTTCTTTTACCTTGACATCTTGAAGCTGTGTATGTATGTCTTGGTGTGCTTTCCTTAGTTGTCTATTCTCTTCTCTCAAATTGTATACAGTCTCTATTTTAGAAAAAGAAGGATCACACATAAAGCCTTGAAACTTTCAGGATTCTGTTTCTATTATTTTCATATCTAAAGCCACCTATAACTTATTTTAGAATTTATTTTGAACTCAGACAATATAATATTCAAAATCAACAAAAATGATATTGTATTGGGATGTAGCATGGTTTTAGCTGGACATCTCAATCCACTCTGGTTCAGTACTTTAAATGCTTTTAAACAACTTTTGCATGACAGACAAAAGATAAGGAATTTTTGTTACCTAGGAATTAAAAATGAGATGTTAATGTCAATAAGCATACCCTTAGGAATAAAATATAATGCGTAGGTGTACTCAGATTTGAGTCTCTTCACAAATTAAAAACAAAGCTTCAGCATTTCAGTCAAATTTTTAAAAATAATTTAAAATTTTAAAAATATATAAAAATAAAATAATCAGAAAGTATAGACCCTTAACCCTTTGTAGTACTGCCTCAAGACTATTTAACTCCTGCATGACTTTTTGTTGTAACTTACTTTTTTTGAAATGCTATATTATAGAGAAATGTTGCAAAAAACATATAGAGTGGTCCTAAGGACACAACACCCAGCTTCCCATCATGATGACATCTTATACAAATACAGTACATTACCAAAACCAGGAAACTGTTGGGGTCAGTACAGTGAACTAGACTACAAACTTGATTTGGGCTTGACCACTGTTTTTGCATGCACCATATGCCTCTTAAAACCAATTATCTCACTTTAAACTTATTTAGCACCTATTTTTTTTTTTTGACAGAGTCTCTCTCTGTCACCCAGGCTGGAGTGCAGTGCAATGCCCCAGCAATGCAGTGCCCCAGCAATGCATTTAATTTTAGTGCGATCTTGGCTCACTGTAAGAACCTCCGTCTCCCGGGTTCAAGCGAGTCTCTTGCCTTGGCCTCCCGAATGGCTGAGATTACAGGCATGTGCCACGATGCCCGGCTAATTTTTGTATTTTTAGTAGAGATGGGGTTTCGCCATTTTGGCCAGGCTGGTCTCGAACTCCTGACCTCAAGTGATCCACCCACCTTGGCCTCCCAAAGTGCTAGGATTACAGGCGTGAGCCACCGTCCCCGGTTGAAATGGGGAAGACGTGTGTCTTGTGATTAATCTGGAGTTCACCTAAATATTTGATTGCAGAATGCACTGGTTTCTTTCTCCAGGACTCACATGCACTCAGAAAAGTGACATATTTTGTTTCATATTACTATGAAAATACCTGACACAGATGTTGATGGGTAGCAAATTTATGAGCAACTACTCTACATGCTTTATGTAAATTATTTCTCACACCAATTCTACAAGGTTGATATTTTTATGATTATCTCAATTTCACAGATAAGACAATGAAGCCCACAGTTGTCACACAACTTACCCATGGTCACATAGCTAGTGAAGAAGCCAAGATTCACCTGGGCAGTCTGACTATAGAACTTGAGCTTTTTTCAGTTACTACTGGCGATCAACAGCAAGTCTCTGCTCCCTTGGAGATTTTTAGAAATATATGGAGCAATTTTTGATTGTGGCAATAACTGAGAAGCATTATAGCATTTAGTAGGTAAGGATCAGAGATGCTATCTGTCTCGCAACCCAGTTAAGAGAAGAATCGTCTTGCCCAACAGGGCCATGTGCCCCACTGAGATACAAGAGAATACACTACGATACAACAGAACACACGACATATTCTATTCTGCTTCCCTAAACCAACCCAAATAGATGAAGATACATGTGAAACATTACAAAGAAAAAGTGACTGGTAAAGGACCACATGATAAATGTAAATCGATCACCACTCAAAACAACAGTCTACAGTTGCACTGAAACATTAATATCAGTACTTATTTAGAGATAAACTGGCTAATCAGATTTCCAAATACCTTTTAGCTTAGAAAGTTCTTGTTCTTTTTCTTGCTGGAGCTGCAAGTATTTTTGCTTATGGTCATTAAATGTTCTACTGAAGTCTTCCCCTTGTTTGCGATGTTCCTCTTCCAAGTCACTGTGCTGTTTCTTTAGCTCCTCGTGTTGGCTCTGCAAAGATGAAAACTTGAGTAGAAATATACATTCTCTGAATTATATGAGAGTCTATTTCTTGACAGCACAGTAAACAAAAACAAATGAAAGCAAGCAAGCACAAACACATGAAGAAATAGGCTTTGTTTTTCTCAAGTTGCTTTAATTTGTGCAGCTTCCCTCCATTTCCCCTGGATTTCAAATGAACAGTTGGGATCACAGCCAAAAATAATTTTCCCCTTAATTTTTAAGAAGTTAGCATGAGAGATGGAAAGGGAAAAAATGTGGGAAAATTCCCAGGGACACATATTACTGTGGAAACAAGGTAAAGCTAATGGCAAAATTATCCCTCCCTGGGTATTATGGATTTCCTCTTTCGATCTGATGTTTTCCCAGCAATGCATTTAATTTTCCTTCTTTGGTATTTCAGCCTTTCTGGTAACTCAGTTTAAAAGAGAGAGAGTAAATGAGACTTTTCCCTTTGGGAATAGTAATCAACTGTTTAGAGAATTGACTTTTATTTACCTTATTTCCGATTATAATCCTACAATGTAATCATGATCTAGATAAACACTACAGTCTCCAAGTGCTTAATGTGAAAGCATGGTTTGCTTTAATTCATTTACTGCTCTCTTGATAATAAGAAAAGATTCCGGTTTCAATAAAAAGTGCATGCCCTACTGATATCAGAGGGAAAGACAATAGCAAACAGAAAGCGAGGGGGAGGCACGGTGGGGTGGAGATGCCGGCATGATCTGCATCCTGCGAGAAGGGCATAACTGCATGCTGCCCGTCTCTTCCAGCTTGACAGAAACAATGATCCTCTTCCTGACACAGAATAATGAGTTTTACTCAAGGACCAAGGAAGCAGAATCTTTAAATAATAATTTGTGTTCCTGTGGTAAGTAAAAGGACATTTATTAAATATTAGTAACAAGAAGGAAGCATTTTAATAGTTCTACAGCCTCCAATCTGTGTAAGATAAAAGAAAATGTCTAAGGAAAACCACTGTGAGAAAGTAAATGAACATAAAACCCTAATGGATAGAGAGAAGAAGAAAATTAAAAATGAGGTAACCGAGAGCCTGATTTGCAAGAAAATGTGTAATAATTAAAATGTTCTATGTAATCGAGTGATAAATACGACAAGCCATTACAACTATATATAATTTTTAGCCAAATAAGATTTTAAAATGCCATATTACAATACAAATCAACTTCTGTAAACTTTCTTTAATCACTTTAAAGGCCATTAGTCAGTTCAAGTATTAGTTAATCCTTTCTTTTATTCATAAATAACAACTTTAGATTACTCACTTTCAACATCTGATGTTGGACATTCAGTGCACTGTATCTGCTATTGGAATCTTGCTGTAAATCAAAAAAAAAAAAGAAAACACAAAGATAAATATGGCTCTCTTGTTAAATACAGCTTAAAGCACTTTAAAATATAACTTTATTTATTTCACTTGTGTACAGTAAAATGAATTCTACATTTGAACCAAGATGTCGCTGGAGCCATCGATTTAACACAGAAATGAAGTTTTAACATTCCCCTTAGTTTGCTAGATTTTAGAGTAAAAAAGCAGGATATGAAATCATAAAACAGTAGCTTGAAAGAGCCCTTAGAGATGATTTCCTTCCACTTTCATATTCAGAAGAACTGGAGCCCAGACATACGAACTTGTCCTGAGACACAGAGTCACCGCGCAGGGCTAATATATGCGCTGGGTGCTTGAGGTAAGAGGGAAGAAGAAATAAACCGATGAGGAGCGGGCCTCACAAGCTGAGCATGGCTTAAAGGGGGAAGAGAAAAGGCACTTTCTTTCCCTGAACTTCAGCGGGTAAGAAATTCTATATACATGATTTTACCCCAGTGAGGCTCTATTTTGCAGAGTGAGAAACTGAGTAAAGATTAGGAACCTGCCAAGAGCAAATATTTCATTAAGTAGCAGAGCCAGGATTGAAACTTGAGCCTAAGTCTCTGGCTGAACTGCGTGTCCTGAGCTCCAGGTTCCAGGGGTATATCTTTGTGTTCCTGTGGGGTATCTTCACATATGGACCCAATAGTCCCGGGCAGCCATAACCAGTCAGTATGCAAAACACACCTGATTCTTTTCCCTCTCTATGCTATGTTGTTTATGTTTAGGTACCATATCCCTCACTTTACCCTGCCAGCACAAGTATACACTCATGCATTTTTTTTCATATTTTTATTAAAAACTTCTAAAATGAACTGCATTTTTGCTTCCTCACTTTACTGCTTTAATTTGTAAGGAAATTACAAGTGCACACAGCTTTGGTTAGTGCTGTTAAAAGCAAGCAAGAGTTGAAAGCTGATGGCCTCCTGGGCTATCCAAAGAAGTGACTCTTCTCAGTTTTTTTATTTTGAGATAGGGTCTGCCCTGTTGTCCAGGCTGGAGTAGAGTGGTGGGATCATAGCTCATTGAAGCTTTAAACTCCTAGGCTCAAGTGATCTTCTGCCTCAGCTCTCAAGTAGCTGGGAATAGAGGCATGTGTACCATCACGCCCAGCTAATATTTTGTACTTTGAAGTCTTGCTATTTTGCACGGGCTGGTCTCAAACTCCTGGCCTCAGGCAATCCTCCTGCCTCAGCCTCCCAAAGTTTTGGGATTACAGATGTGAGCCAACTCACTTGGCTTCTTCTTAGTTTTAATACCCCAAAATATCAATGTTTTTCAATTAATGCTTATATACTTTTCTTAGAGTAAGAAAAGAGTAGCTTTTATCCAGTTAATTTGGACTTTAAAATATTTTTATTTATTTATTTATTTAATTTTTATTTTTTTATTGATCATTCTTGGGTGTTTCTCGCAGAGGGGGATTTGGCAGGGTCATAGGACAATAGTGGAGGGAAGGTCAGCAGATAAACAAGTGAACAAAGGTCTCTGGTTTTCCTAGGCAGAGGACCCTGCGGCCTTCCGCAGTGTCTGTGTCCCTGGGTACTTGAGATTAGGGAGTGGTGATGACTCTTAACGAGCATGCTGCCTTCAAGTAAAATATTTTTAAATGCCAGTATCATTCATCCCTTCACCCATTCCACAAATGTTCTTAAATGAAAACTCTAGGCCAGGTCCTGTGTTGCATGTTACACATGTGAAGGCAAACCAAAATAAATCTTACATTCTATAAAAAAGAGAGACTGCAAACAAATAAATGAAATAATCTTCTTTTTATAGTTGAACATTAAGGTTATTCCCAGTTTATCCCTATTATCAACAATGTGATAAGTAAAGGTAAGTTTAAAGTCTTCCTCTTAGAATTTTTTGGCAGCCAAAAAAAAAAAAAGGGGGTGTCAGTCCTATAATCCCAGGGATCAAAAAGTAAAAGAGTTCGCAACTGTATTTCTCTCTCTTTCAAGTTTTATGAAAACAAATTAAGGAAAACAAACAACCACAACAAAAAAAACAAAACTTACCCTTCCTTTATTTAATGTTTCTTGTGCTTCTAACTTATAAACAAGAAAATCTAGAAAATACAAGATGGAAAAAAACAGTGATAATTCACTACACAGATTTTAAACATCTAAAGAAATAAAGGCAAACTTCACTCATGCTTACAAAAGTGTTTTAGGTTTAAAACAATCTACTTGGTGATTTACATACTTTATTTTGGCTCTCATTGCTTTAGAAAGAATTGGAAAAAACATACAGCTTCCTCTTTACCTTACAGCTGTAAATCTTGCATCCACAAAATCCAAATTATAGCCAATTGATTAAAAGTGCTTTTAGAATATCTCTGATTAACTCTCCTTGAAATTTAGGAGGGAAAAAATGGAGCACATCTGAAGACAAAGGTGATTTATTGCTATCCACTAGATGGCACACTAAAATCATTCAGTTCCTGAAAACAGAAATCAAGCCAGCCAAGCCATCTTTAATGCTTTGAAAACCTTATTATCCACTAGATGGCTCTATAAAATCACTCTGCATTTGAAGGCAAGGAGACTCCAAATCTTATCAAAGCATTTAATGATGCTGAACTTCTATTCTTCACACAGGCTCAATCCAAGGGTCAGTAAAACATCCTAACCAATACTGCCCCTCCTCTGCTATCCTCTTCCTTCCTACCAAGGTAGGCAGACAGAACACGTAATTTAAATTTCAAGATTTATCATAAAACATGAATAAATAAATATCAGAATGCAGATAACTTCAAATCATCAGCTGTATAAGGCCTGTGTTTTATGGAAAAATTCTGATAAAAATTGACAGCATTGCCCAGTGGCTGTCCTAAATGTAAACTTTCAAACTGAATCAACTGATGTGTCAATAAAAACTTTCACAAGGTAAAAACAGGTGCATAACTTAAAATATAATGGACAATGGGATCAATTCATTACGGTATAAATATATATGTATGTGTATAAAATTTGTCATATTCTGGACAATGCATCCTGTTACTTCCCCCCCAACCCCAGCCCCCTCAATATCTGTGGACAGAAGTTCCAGGTGTAAGTAATATACCCGTTTAATATGCAGATGAAAAATTATATGTTATTCCTGAAATAATAAGTGTAACCAATATATGAGCTATCACAAGGTGGCATAAACTGAATACAGTATTCTAAATCCAATCTTGTATAGGGATTATTGCACAATGCATAATATATTACTTGACATGTCTTTCTCTGTCCACCTATCTGACTTTGGGTTGATTTGAGAACGATCTTAGCCAAAAAAAAATTGTAAACCAAGTATATGATACGTCAAAGAAGAGTACTGGAAAAACACAGAACACAAATTATGTATTTACTTACCTTCCTTTGCTTTTTTATGTTCAAGTCTTTCTTTTTGCAAGGATTTCTCTAATCTTGATCTGTGTTCATATACAACTGGAAAAAAAGTTAACATTTTTGTCTTCAAAGAATTAGAAATTTAAAACTAAAATTAACATCAATTTTTAAAACAGGAAGAAAACAGTGTAGAGTCTTTACACAATTTAAATAAAAACATATGTGTTTTAAGTTCCCCTTTCCAGGTAAAGAACAGACATACTAATAGGCATTATTCTGGGCTGGCTCCCATCCAGCCTGCCCTTTTCTAAAGCCAGTACTCTGAATGATGCTTCCACCTTCTTTGCCAGCTCCATTTCCTTCTAGGCCTCTTAAATGCAAGTGTCTTTTTGAGATCTTTTTCCTCCTGTCTTCCTGGGCAACCTTGCTCAATCTCCTGACTTTTAACCATCATCTGCAAAGCAGTTACCCCCACATCTACACTTCCACCTCTGGCTTCTCTCTGACTCTAGAAGGGTATTTTCTCCTAAATATTCCATAAGTACTACAAAGTCAACATGATCTGCATCTGAATTAAGGCTGCCTGGATCCATAAGGAGACCTCAGCAGCATACCACTGGAATGAAAGAGGAGGTGTATCTCCTCCCTCCTCCCACGTCAAGGAAAACAGACTAGAGAAGCACAGAAATAGAGAAGGAAGGGACTCTCCAAAGAATTTATAAAAGGGTCCACAAAAGAACTAGTCAGGTTCACCATCAGCCACAGCCAGAAGAAACCAGCGGCAAACCGATGTTCGGTTCTGTAAGACCTTTCTGCCCTTTATCCTCCCTCCCCACCCAGTCTACTCTGAAGAATCCAGAGTCGCCTGGTGAGCAGGGGAGGAAGAGCAGACATGTCTGGCAGACAACAAGGGAGAAGAGGCATACCACAACACTCCTTCCCACTGCAGGCTCCACACCTACAGCAAGCAGAAGCTGGACAGGAGGGAGAAGCCTTACCTTTGAATTAACTGTCCTGGACTAGACCAGACATAACAATTAATGAACCAAGACTGTGTGTTTATGAATACAAGTTTTGAACTATTTTTTGCTTTTAATCTGAGAGAAGTTAGTGAAGCAAACAAGTTTGTCTAAGATTTCATCCAGGAACAGAAAACTCAGCTCCACAAAATGGTTTGAATAGGCACCGAGGGAGAGAACAGAGTAAATTAAAATTCTGATCTACCCTTTGAATCCTGTTTGTTCAGCATTATGGTCAAATATGATCTCATTCTTGGCAGGCTAAGCCAAACGTGTTACTCCATTCTTTGGCCAGTCACAAGCTCCCCGTGACTACATACAATTTAAGCATCAATCACTGGTTGACCATATACAATTCACAGAACAGCCCCAACACTACTGGCTGCTGCCAAAGTCATCAGGGTCCCAGAAAACTCCCTTTCCCCATCCCTGCAGCAATCCCTTGCTGCTTAAGGGATTCCCTGCCTCTCTTCTTGCCCTTTCTCCATTGTTATGATGGCCAACAACCACCATTGTCCTCTTTTCAGGTTGGCCATCATCTCCTGCGTTCTATAGCTTCTCCCCACACTGTGTCTTTTCTTGTCATCCCATATAAAACTTCCATTCTCAGGACTCCATCTACTATCACGATAGACCCTACCTCTATTCACACCTCTGCTAACATCTCCGTCTCTAACTCCTAGAATGCCTGTGACCACTCAAATTTGTATGGTGTGGTCCTCTGATGACATGCATACCCCAATCTCAACTTTTCCCTCATCCGTAGGCAGTCATTGCAATAATCCCTGCCCCATCCCCTTCCTCTACCAGGGTTCCTTTTCCATTCACCAGATGATCCTTTCCCCCTGCATTATTATTATAAAGGAATTCAATATAACTCTATATCTATGGCATCTCTACCATGTACCTGGACAGAAGTGTAAAACTGGGATAAAAATAGTTGTGTTCCAAAAAGTTTGGTTCCAAGTCCACTGCTAAAAAGTAATTTTTTTTCAAACATATACATGTATGGAGTGTAAGCCCCTTGGACAATTACTAAAATCCTTTCAAAACTAAGAGGTTCCTTGGATTACTACTAATAGCCCCATCTTAAATTAAGTTTGGAATAAAGAAAGGAAAGTGTAAGATTAGCCCTATAGAACATCACGAAGCCAGGCCCTGAACTGTGCACTCACAGTCTTTGAGAATTTCACTGAGGTGGGGGAAACATATAGGGAAAGAGCTAAATTACAATACTATCATGATAAAACAGAGGCAAGAATAGGATGCTCAGGAACACGTAAGCTCCCCAGCTGGAAGGAAAAACACTCCCTTCACCGCCAATCCACTGGCCAAAGTTCTCACCGTCTGGGTAGAAAGTTATAAGGGCATAAATATGCCAGTTAAAAGTGAATCTGATTGCACTAATGGACATATTATAGACTGAATTTCAGCAATCATGCAAAACTTTCAAAGAAAGGAACAGGTGAACTATCCAAGATCCTACAGCAGCAAAGTCCCCAGTATAGGCGGAAACAATTCTAACCTAGCAACACCTATAATAATAATAATAATAATAATAATAATAATAATAATAATAATAATAAAACCTAGCAGCATAGTCAAGAAAAACATACAAGGCAGACTGTTCATCACCCACCCCAGTCACCTCAGACTAAATATTAAACATTATTGTAGAAGGTCAAGGATAGAGGGGAAAAAAGCTGAATTTACAAATTACAATCTGGTGGAATTGCTGTTTACTTAATACAATGCAGCAGCAATCAGGGTAAACTCACTTTTGCAAACTTAATATTGTGTGGTACCAGATAATCAGGTCATAATTATCTTTGGCTTAGGAAGGACAGAACTCATCAGCATGATTTCATCTTCAGTAAGAGAATGGAGGCTCTGCTAGATGAAACCAAGTAGAGAGGGAGTGTGGGGGATATGGGTGAAGAGTGCTGGGTGCAGGATGGTATTCCATTCTTTATTCTCTTCCCTTGGATTCAGTCAGGAAGATAATACCCTGACAGCTGGCCCAAAGTACCCATTTATCAAACTGAATCATACAACTGTCTTTGACAGTTCCACACTAAATGGAAATTTACATATTTGACATATTAACAGCAGTGTGTCTCAAGAGCCAGGAGATCATAGGACACAGTTATAAACTTTCATAAATAACCTGAATAAATCCCATAAAATGTCCACAGAAAGGCAAGCGTGTTTGCGAATTATTGTTAAAATTCAAAGGTCTTAGAAAAGCTGAGAAATACTCATGATTACATGCATGGCATCATAATAGCAAACTGTTAACGCAAGAAGAATGTATTTTTGCAAATACAGGAGAAAAAAGATGTGGCAAACAGGAATAGAGTATATATATGTAGAAACTATGAGGTAATTGTGCTATTAATACTATCTTACTCAGAACTGGACAAGCCGTCGTTATAACAGCAGCTTCTAATCCTGATGTAATGTAACTTAAGAATTCAGAAATGGTTTGAAGGCTGGAGAATATCACCGAGGAGGAGGAGGGTGAAAGAATGGAGCAGCGGTGACGGATGGAGACATGGAGAAGGGTTGTTCTTCACCAGGCTCAAGAAAAGAATAAAGGAAAACAAACTGAAAAAGGCTCAAACTATAGGCTGAAGAAACCACATCAGGTAAAGGGAAGTCAGAGTGAAAACTGGCCCTTCGAACTGAAAAATCTAGAAAGAAGAGGAGGAGAGGGAGAGAGGCAGGTGCTAATATAAGGGCTGAAGACACAGCCTTGATGCCTGGGTTAAAATCCCAGCTTCATTTCTCATGAGGTGAGCTGCTGAACTTCTGTGAACTTCAGTTTCCTTGTACGGTTTGTGGGGATAATAATAGATGTATCTCTTTGGCTGAATGTCAGAGTTAAATGAGTTCATATATATCAAGTGCTTAGAATACTGCCTGGCACAGAGTAAACACTATTAAAATGCTTAAATAGCTTAAAAGTGCCAGAGAAAAAAATCAGGCGATCTCCCCTGAGCCCTTCCAACCCTACAGTTAAAGTCTAATAACAAAGTAATCATATGTATGTGTATATGCATATATGTGCATATATATATATATACACATACACACACTCTCTCACACACACACTCTCTCTCACACACACAGATGTATACACACACATATATCTGACTTAAAAAGGCAATGACATTGGTCTCAGTTTTCTTTTACTTAAAAAATTTCTTTAAATAAAAGAAAAAGCAAATAATAATTCCATATGTTATTTAAACCCTTAAGTTTTTGAAAATAAAAACGGAAAGACAGTAGAACAGACCATATAGAATTTCTGTGCTTGTACCTCTTTTAGAAAACTTCACTATTAAGCACATACACACACATACGCACTACCTTTCTTTCTTTTACCATGCATTCTCCAGGCTTTTGAGCTGTGATTTATCTAGCTAGGTTTACTGTTTCACTTAGAATGAGGATAGCTAATCAATCCTTGTCACCTATCTCTATTTTTCTATTTATACTCTGAAGTCAAGGGCATCAGTCAAGATGAACTAATGCTGCTAAAATCTCTGCAACAAAAAGCTATATATTGAATATTCTCATAGCACCAAACAAGTTTAAGGAAAAATAAGTATGAAAATAATGGTTCAATCTCAGCAGTCAAGATCTTTAATGCAGAATAACACTGCAACAGGAATAGGATTTGAATCCAAGAACTCAGGAGAAAAAGATGAAAATCCATAATACTCATCTCATCTCCTGCTTACTTAAAAGGGGTTTAATATTTTCCATGCAACCAGGAATGGAAAGAGGTTCTATTCCCCCCAAAAGCACTCAGGAGTTTAAAAACGTGCCAGCTTCCTACAGCAATTTTCCATTTTAACTCTGACTTCCATTTGAAAGTCACACGAGAAATCAGCTGTATACATTCACTTATGGGCAAAATGCATATCTATGCAATTTCAAGGCAAACTGCTCCAATTCATAATCAGAAAGCAACACTCCAAAATTAGGCAGAAAACACTGCTAAGTGTTTTGACATCTTAAACCAAGAGAGGGCAATGTTTCTTTGGCAGAAGAAATAGCCTGTGAAATTTTGTTTTTGGTCCCGACTATAACATAATGTTTTATTTTTAAAAAACAAACAACAAACAACAGAAGCTTGGTATGAAAGTCACACAATTCAACTTGTGAAAACATTGAGATTTGCAAGTACCTCTATCTTCTTATATATAAAACAAAAATTAAAATGAACAAAGTATGCTTTTGATAATTGTGATTGAAGAATGTTTAAGCTTAATACTAAGAAAGATGACACAAAAAGGAGAATAAATTGAAATTAATATACGTCTCAGACTTCAATACTTTTGAGGGTTTCTTTGGGGCTAATGTCATAGAAATTAAGAGCCTTTATGTGACAGTTTTTGGTTGTAATTCTAAATCACCAGAGGTGGGGTGGAAGCCAGCCACCTGCCCATCCCATTCCTCCATAAAAGAACAAGTTGATGGGTCAACACAAAGTCAACATCATGCATTCTTTCAATTACTTTTCCTTCCTTCTTCCATAATTTTACCTTACAAGAAGTCTAAGACAGAATACTGGAGATCTCCTAGAAAACAACCCCCATAAAAGAAAGAAATAAAAAGAAAAAGGAGGTGGACCACTATTACCATTTTAAGGCTGACACAGGACTCTCCCTCCAGTGCCCAGAAGTAGGGAAGGACATCGCTAGGGCACAGACTTTGGTTCCTCCTCTCGTTTCCTTCAAAAACGTCTCCTCAGAGTTCTGCATCCATCTTCAAAATTTAACTACAACCTCTCACAGATGACTCCCAAACCATGAAACCCAGATTTTACTTCTCACTCAATTCCAGTTTCATTCCTTCAATAAAATTCAATCTTTTGAGTCTGCTTCATAATTTATGGCTGAATTTAATTTTTAATAAGCCCTTTCCCACACATTCAAGGCCCAGGCCTGGGGGGGCAAAACCTCCCAGTGGCTTCTCACCACATCGGGAGTGAAACCCCACAAGGCCCTCACAGGGCCTTACCCCATCGTTCATCCTGCCCGACCCCAGCAGCCTCTCTGTTAGGCTTGAACATGCCAGGCACACTTTCCCCTCAGCCCCTCCTACTGCCTTTCCTTGAGCCTCACTGCTCTTGCTCCAGGTATCTGAGCAACTAGCTCCCTTACTTCCTTCAGATCCTCACTAGAAAGATGCGTTCACACCCAGAACATCCTGTCTAAAATTGCAACTAGCTTTCTGCCCTCAATACTTCGTCTCCTTTCCTACATTATTTTTCTCTTTAGTGCTGATCATCATGCTTTGTTTTTACTTATTAATTAAACATAATTTATTAATTATAAAATAATAATTTTTATTACTGTTATAAATAAGTAAAATAATAATTTTTACTTATTAATTCCCTGTCTATCACAAAAGAACAGAACCTCGATTGAGGGCGAGAATTTCTGAATTACTTTATCTCATTATCGTATCCCTGTGATATGCTTTGGCTGTGTCCCCACCCAAATCTCATCTTGAATTCTCACATGTGGTGGGAGGGACCCAGTGGGAGATAATTTAATCATGGGGCAGGTTTTTCCTGTACTGTTCTCATGAGAGTGAATAAGTCTCATGAGATCTGATGGTTTTAAAAAGGGGAGTTTCCCTGCGCAAATTCTCTTCTTTTGTCTGCTGCCATGTGAGACGTAACTTTCACCTTCCGCCATGATTGTAAGGCCTCCCAAGCCATGTGGAACTGTAAGTCCAATAAACTGCTTTCTTTTGTAAATTGCCCAGTCTGGAGTATGTTTTTTTCAGCAGCATGAAAACAAACTAACACAGTAAATTGGTACCAGTAGAGTGGGGTGCTGCTGAAAAGATACCCAAAAATGTAGAAATGACTTTGGAACTGGGTAACAAGCAGAGGCTGTAACAGCTTGGAGGCTCAGAAGAAGACAGAAAGATGTGGGACAGTTTGGAACTCCCTAGAGACTTGCTGAATGGCTTTAAGCAAAATGCTGATAATGATATGGACACTGAAATCCAGTCTGAGCTGGTCTCAAATGGAGATGAGAAACTTGTTGGCAACTGGAGCAAAGGTGGCTTCTGTTATATTTTAGCAAAGAGACTGACGGCATTTTGCTTCTGACCTAGAGATCTGTGGAACTTTGAACTTGAGAAAGATGATTTAGGGATCTGGTGGAAGAAATTTCTAAGCAGCAAAGCATTCAAGAGGTGACTCAGGGCCGGGCGCGGTGGCTCACGCCTGTAATCCCAGCACTTTGGGAGGCCGAGGTGGAGGGATCATGAGGTCAGGAGATCAAGACCATCCTGGCTAACATGGTAAAACCCCGTCTCTACTAAAAATACAAAAAAAACATTAGCTGGGCGTGATGGCAGGTACCTGTAGTCCCAGCTACTCGGGAGGCTGAGGCAGGAGAATGGTGTGAACCCAGGAGGCGGAGCTTGCAGTGAGCAGAGATCATGCCACTGCACTCCAGCCTGGGCGACAGAGCAAGACTCTGTCTCAAAAAAAAAAAAAAAAGAGGTGACTCAGGTGCTGTTAAAGGCATTCAGTATTAAAAGGGAAGCAGAGCATAAAAGTTCAGAAAATTTGCAGCCTGATGAATGTGACAGAAAAGAAAATCCCATTTTCTGAAAAGAAATCCAAGCTGGCTGCAGAAATTTGCGTAAGTAACTAGGAGCCAAATGTTAACGACCAAGACAATTCGGAAAATGTCTCCAGGGCATGTCAGAGGTCTTCACAGCAGCCCCTCCTATCACAGGCCCAGAGGCCTAGGAGGAAAAAGTGGTTTCATGGGCCAGGCCCAGGGTCCCTGTGCTGTGTGCATCCTAGGGACTTG
Organism: Homo sapiens; assembly: GCF_000001405.40. Classification (NCBI taxonomy): domain Eukaryota; kingdom Metazoa; phylum Chordata; class Mammalia; order Primates; family Hominidae; genus Homo; species Homo sapiens. Next base: position 168,056,137 of record NC_000003.12, read on the forward strand.
GTGCCCTGTGTCCCAGATGCTCCAGCCATGGCTGAAAGGCACCAACATAGAGCTTGGGCTATGGCTTCAGAAGGTGCAAGTCCCAAGCCTTGGCAGCTTCCACACGGTGCTGAGCCTGTGGGTGCACAGAAGTCAAGAATTGAGGTTTGGGAACCTCCACCTAGATTTCAGAAGATGTATGGAAATGCCTGGATGCCCAGGCAGAAGTTTGCTCAGGGGGAGGGCACTCATGGAGAACCTCTGCTAGGTCAGTGTGGAAGAGAAATGTGGAGTTGGAGCTCCCAAACAGAGTCCCTACTGGGGAGAAGGGGGCCACTGTCCTCTGGACCCCAGAATGGCAGATCCACTAACAGCTTGCACCATGCACCTGGAAAAGCCACAGACACTCAACACGAGCCCATGAAAGCAGCTGGGAGGGAGGCTGTACCCTGCAAAGCCAAAGGGGCGGAGCTGCCCAAGACCATGTGAACCCACCTCTTGCATCAGCATGACCTGGATATGAGACATGGAATCAAAGGAGATAGTTCCAGAGCTTTAAGGTTTGACTGTCCTGCTGGATTTTGGTCTTGCGTGGGGCCCCCAGCCCTTGTGTTTTGGCCAATTTCTCCTATTTGGAATGACTGTATTTACTCAATGCTTGTACCCTCATTGTATCTAGGAAGTAATTAACTTGCTTTTGATTTTACAACTTCATAAACAGAAAGGACTTGCCTTGTCTCAGATAAGACTTTGGACTGTGGACTTTTGAGTTAATGCTGAAATGAGATAAGACTTTGGGGGACTGTCGGGAAAGCATAATTGGTTTTGAAATGTGAGGGCATGAGATGTGGGAGGGGTCAGGGGTGGAATGATATGGTTTGGCTGTGTCCCCCACCCAAATCTCATCTTGAATTCCCATATGTTGAGGGGGGGACCCGGTGGGAGGTAACCAAATCATGTGGCAGGTCTTTCCTGTGCTGTTCTCATGACGGTGAATAAGTCTAACGAGAGCTGATGGTTTTAAAAAAAGGAGTTTCCCTGCACAAGTTCTCCTGTCTGCTGCCATGTGAGACATGCCTTTCACCTTCCACCATGATTGTGAGGACTTCCCAGACTTGTGGAACTGTAAGTCCAATAAACCTCTTTCTTTTGTAAACTGCCCAGTCTTGGGTATGTCTTTATCAGCAGCATGAAAATGAAATAATACACCCTGGTACACTGAATTGTAGTCATGTATTAGTCTATTCTCATACTGCTATACAGATACTACCTGAGACTGGGTAACTTATGAACAAAAGAGGTTTAACTGACTCACAGTTCCGCATGGCTAGGGAGGCCTCAGGAAATTTACAATCATGGTGGAAGATGAAGGGGAAGCAAGGCACCTCTTACAAGGGGCAAGTGCCACTTTTAAACCATCAGATCTTGTAAGAACTCCCTCACTATTACGAGAACAGCATGGGGAAACCACCCCCATGATCCACTCACCTCCCACCAGGTCCCTCCCTCGACACATGGGGATTACAATTCTAGATGAGATTTGGGTGGGGACACAGAGCAAGGCATTCAATAGATACTTCTTGAATAAATTAATGAGTGAGTGAGTGAAGTAATGAACAACTAAGTACCTTGAAGGTTGGGACTAGCCACCTTTTTCCTTTTCATCTATATCCTAGCCCCTCACTACCACTTCAGTCTCAATCCCTCAGTTCCTAATATCTAGTGATATTCGACAGCACTTGTTCAATGATTGAATGCACTTGGAAGAGATTTCATTCTCTTCCACCTTTCCCTGCCATCTTCTATGCCCCAGCACTTTAACTAAATTCCCAAATATGTAGGCTCATTAGTACCACATGTCCCAGAAAAGAGATAGATAACAGAATAGAGATTAAATTTATATGTTGGTGTGTAGGCTCACACTATTAGCATTAGTTAAATAATAGTCCTGAAATACGGACACTTTCAGAATGCTGAGAAAAAAAAGAACATTCAGATTAACTATTTTTTTACTGCCTGGCAATTGCAGTATTTTTTTACTGTACAATAAAGTTACTGTAATAGTTCACACAAGTGTCCATTTTTAAGTTTGCTAATGCATACGGTTTGTAAAGTAGCTTATATGGAAATTTTAACCATGACTTGAATTGGTGCTTAACTGCCTTTTCTTTTGTGGATAAAACTATACCCAGGCTTTTCCTCATGCCACTAATTGAGATTTGGCTTTTTCAAATAAGTATTATATGAGCTGACTTAACATACATTTCTTCATGCTGTTCTTTTTGGCATTCTTTCAAGTGCTGAGCTACTAATAATCATTCTCATTATCAGATGAAGTCTATTCACTTCTCATGAAAGGATTCTTCTCTTAGCTGCCCTGAGCTATTATGTTATAACCCAGCAATGGCCTAGGCACCTCGGGAAACACCAAAGTATAGGAGTTACTCTTATACAAAAGCTTATAACAAATAAATACACGTTGTGAGAAGAGGCTAAGACAGGTAAAACATAAGACAATTAGAGATCACCAAAGGTTAGCCAGGCTAGGATGACATAATGAACTGCTGAGTCAGCAGATTCTTAAACAGAATCTCTTTGAGAGCTGAGAGGAATAATATCCTCCTCTTCCATAAAAAGGCTGCACTCTACAAAGCAAATACTATATTCTCAAAGACATGTATAAGTGTATATACATATATATTGGAAACTTAAGGACTCACAGTAATAGAAATAAAAGTTATTCTAAAATTAGATATCTATAAATAGAACCTGTATAGTACTATTCCTCTTATCTAGCAATCAGATTGCAGCTGGACAGCATCATAGTATTTCAGAAAATTATGCACAAGAGAAAAAGAGAGGCAGAGGGGAAGCGAGAGAAGAGGGGGTTGTTTCTTGCTCCCAAAATTGATGCAAACATGTGTAAGAATGCCCTTAAGATGGATAAAATATGCAAAAGCACACTGCTCTTAAAATGCAACTATGAATAGTTTTCAAAATTGATGTGCTTGAAACAAACCTAAAAGACATCTAATTTCCATAAGTTGTCTGATTTTTTAATAGGAACTTGCCTTTACGGACGCTGCAAGTAATGCTAGCAAAAAGGAAACAACCTAAAATCCAATACTCAAGTATTAACCCCTAAAAGTTTTATGTCATATTGCAGAGAATACCCTCAACTAGGTTGGAATGCACCTAACTACCACTGTCTTCTCCTTCAAATCAATGTAGCAGTACACACAAGTTAACTCACCTTCATTCAAACTTCCAATTTCAAGTTCTACTTCAAAATTAAAATATGCAACATATCTTGGAAAAGGTTCATAAAAGTAAGTCTTGTAAAAAGATGCTATTTAAGATCTCTTAGTCTTATTTAAGGTTACTACTGCATCCCAAATATTTCATTCAACAAATCAAACAAATATTAATTGGGCCCCTACTATATGCCAAGCACTGTTCAGATATATGGGGACATACTGTAAGTAAAACATAAAAAACAATTTGCCTTTAGGAGGATTTTATTCTCACAGAGAGATATAGATGATAAATAATAAATAGAATAAATAATATGCTAGCAGGTAATTATTGCTAAAGAAGTAGAGTAAAAGAGATCGAAAGAGACTGGAGGCGTGGGGAGAATGGGCCAGGCTGCATTTTAAAATAGAGTGATGAGGGCAGGCCTCACTGAGAAGGATATTTCAGTGGGGACATGTGAGACAAGACTTGAAAGACTGAAGGGGTCAGTCAGTACTACAGATATCTAGGGGGAGACTCTTCCAAAATAGAGGGAGTAACCCATAGGAAAGCTGTACAGTGCAAGCACACTGGGATGTCCTCAGAGAAACAGGCAGTCTAGAGTGACTGAGGCAGGGTGAGCCCGGAAAGTCAAAGCATAAGGGAAGGGGAAGGGGCAGAGTGCAATGGTCACAGAGCCCACTGAGAACTTGGGATTTTACTCTTGGAGAAATTGGGAACCATTAGAGAGTTTTTTTTTTTTTTCTTAGAGATGGGGTCTCACTATGTTGCCTAGGCTGGACATGAACTCTTAGGCTTTAGCCTCAGCCTCCCAAGTAGGTGGGACTACAGGTGCATACCACCATGCCAGCTCCAGTGCAGAGATCTGAGCAGAAATGATGTTGACTTAGGTTTTAAATATTGATCCCTCTAGTCAGACTGCATGGGTACAAGATGCAAGCAGGGAAACTAGTTCTGCAGTAATTGAGGCATGAGGGTAATGGAAGAAGAGGACCAGTGTGCGTGCTGTGGAGGCCATATAATATTCAGATTCTACATTTATACTCAAGATCAAACTACTGCATGTTATCAGCTGAGATGGGGAAGGCCAATGACATCATAGTTTTGTGAGGAAGATCAGAAGTAAGATATGATTATAGAGTGATGTGCTCAGCCTGGAAGAGTCCAGTTAGACTCCCAGAGGTTACATTTGATTGGGTGTTGACAGATGACAATGCAGGAAGGATAGAGAAAAATCCAGACAGTGGATAGGGAATGTGTGGGAACAATGAAACAAAATCAAAAATAATCCGCGGTATTCCTCAAACTTTCCTAAAATAAGAATGTGGAGTGCTTGTTACTAGCACAGATTCCCAGGGCCCAACTCAAATCTACTGAATCCGAATTTACTGGCAATCTGAAAGTTTAGTAAGAGTGCCTCACCCACTCCCCATGAGCTTTTCTAGGGGAGTTTTGTCAATACTATGTTTAGCATAGGATTGATGGAAAGGTGGATAATAACAGCAGGGAAGAATGAATGAGATAGGGCTAAAAAGAACTTCATCACATCTGCATGATTGTAAAATTAACTTTGTATGTGTAGAAGATAGAGCATCTGAGAAAGAGTAGAGGTTAATGGATTCATTAGCAGGTCATCGCAGCAACCTAAAAAAAGTATGATGGAGGTTAAACTTACATATTGTTTGAATATAACATGACCTTCAGTTTTGCCAATAAAGCAAGCATATTAAAGAGTTGATTTTTTTTTTGCCAAATATACAAGATTTTAGAGAAGCAAAAAAAAAAAATGGGGCAAAGAATAGGAACAGCCACTTAAATATATCCTACTGGCCACGAAATATATGAAAAAGTGCTCAACTAAATTAGTTATCAGGGAAATGCAAATTATAATCATAGTGCAGTACTACCATTCTCCCATCAAAACAGCTAATATAGAAAAAGACACAAAATACCAATAGTTGGCAAGAATGTGGAGGAAGGAACTCTTCTACTTTGCTAATGGATGTGAAAAAGGTACAACCATTTTAGAAAACTGATAGTGTTAACTAAAGCTGATGAAGGCATATCCTAAGACCTATAAATCCCACTCCTAGGTATGTACCCAACCCAGTACTTGACATTTATTCACCAAAAGTCATATAGGAGAGTTTTAATTGCAGCATTACTCATAACAGCCCCAAACTGAAACCACATCTATCATAGTAGAACGGATAAGCTGTGGTTGTTCAAAATGCAAAATATCATTCAGCAATGTGAACAAACTAAATAATTCATAGATGAATTTCACAAACATAATATGAGGAAAGGAGCCAGACAGCAAAGTGGTACTTACTGAATGATTACATTTATAAAAAGTTCAAAAACAGGCACGAGTGAAACTAATCTCTGATGATAGAAGACAAGATACTATTCACACTGTGCACATGGGGGCAGCGGTCGGGCAATAACTGGAAGAGAGTAAGAGGGAGCATTTTTGAGTGCCAGTGATGTTCTGATTCTCATGCTGGTGGTGTTCTGATTCTTGGTCTGAGAGCTGGCTACACTGTTTGCTTTGTGAAAATTCATTGAGCTGTTTACTTATGATTCGTGTACTTTTGTGAATGTATAATTCAATAACATTTACCAAAAATTTACAGACTGTATGAAAGAGCTACCTGTTTATATCACATCATGCATTTGTTATTTTTAGTTACATAAATAAAATAGTGAAATATGCAAGAAATTTACATATGTCACTTTTTTTCTACATCCACATCTCCCAAAACACTTTGGTCCAAACTCTACACATGCATGTCTGACATCTGTGTCTGTGTCAACTCAAGTTAGGTTTTTAGCTTCTGACAGTTTTCCCAAGCATAGCCATCATCACCCGAGGTAAAGCATTAGTGGAATCTCTGTCTGGTGCCATCACTGGAAATCTTGTCCTAAGCCTCAGATAGGATTTGGTAAAAATCAGGATAGTTGCCATTTCCATTTGTAATGTAGGAACACATTCATGCTTTCTATATCCCTAATTTGAATGTATTGGGGCTTTTTTTTTTTTTAGTGGAAAGGTTTGTTTATAAAGATACTTTGCATTTACAACTGTGAGGACACATTCCTAAGAATAAATTCCTACACTATTTTCAAAGCTGCCATACCCTTTTTTAAAAAGATTTTGTCAGGTGCCCTCCATAATACCTAACCGCATTAAACAGGGTCATGTGGGGCTAATGTGTCTTCCTCACAAATGCTCTATTTAAAATAAAGCCTTGGAGAAAGCACCCAGTAATAGCAGAGGCTTTGCATTGACTCCACCTCAAGACTCCCTCTTCTCTGAGGAGTAATTTTGCAGGAAAAGGGGAACCTCACCTCATATTCAGGCACACGTGGTAATCATTGACAGAGGGCGAGGAATGCACTGAAGCAAACTATATTTAGGAAATAGAATCAAAATGCCTGAGAGATTGATTCAAAGTGTACTATGAAAGTAGCTCTAAGGATGGTGCCGGTATTTCCGGCTTAGCTACTGTATAAAATGTGGATCCAGCTCCAAGGCGGAGGGAGTGAGAGTCCACCGTGCCTTCCATTTTAGATATGTCTAATGCTTGATAGAGTTATCAAGATCAAAACAGAAGCTTAGATCATTTAATCTAAGAAGCAAGTTGCTGGTAGCTAGAGGTCACAGCTGGAATCCTGCTTCCACCACCACCTGCATGTCTAAGGCCTAACACAAGTTCTCCTCCAAAATAACCCCTGCCCACCCACCACTGCCACCTCTAACTCTTCCTAGAATTGTATTTCCCAACACCACCAAACTACTTAACTTCTTACATTTGCCACTGAGGAAACTTAAAAAGATGTTACTCCTAAAGACCATGAAGACAAAGTCAACACTGGGGATAAGGTCAACACTAGACATCTAAAATCTGCTTCCCCAGTTTGACTAGAATTCTTAGTGATATCCTACACTTTCTTTTCACTTTCAGATACTTCAAGCTCTCCTTTGGGATGAAAGTGAAAGTATACTTTTTTTAAGATTTTATTTTTTTAATAGCACTTTTAGGTTCATAGCAAAATTGAAAGAAAGGTACAGAGATTTCCCCATATACTTCCTTTCTTCATACTGGCTACAGAAAATGAATATTTTCCTGATGTGCTATGAAGAATACATGTGACTCTGAATAGGGTATCTTCCCCACTGAGATATTGGGCATTGCCTGATTTGGGGGAAGAGGGAATATTTTAATCACTATCACTGCATAGCATGTAAAAGCCTTCAAGAGTAGAAGGCTGAGATCACTGGGTGAGACCCTCAAAGGTCAAATATAAGAGTTATCCTTTCTTCATCCTTTAAGAAAGGGCAGGGGAGTGGGGGAGGGGGGTGGGAGAGCATCAGGAAGCATAGCTAATGGATACTGGACTTAATGCCCAGGTGATGAGTTGATCTGTGCAGCAAACCACCATGGCACACGTTTACCCATGTAACAAACCTGCACATCCTGCACATGTACCCCCGAGCCTAAAAGTTGAAGGAAAAAAAAAGAAGCGGCATAGTATTTATGGGACTGTGGGTTTTAGGTGGATAGCAGGATACTTCTGAGGATGATGTGACATAAAGAGGATTTGGAGGATTTTGTGAAAGTTTATTCTGGCAAGCAGGCCTTGAGATACTTCCACTATACCACCCTGCATCATAATATCACCCAAGATGGTAAAGGTGAGATTGGCATTTGCCTTCACCATGGTCCCAGGAGGCTTCCCCAGGCAGTGTGGATGTCCCTGGATGTCCAGTTTAAATATCCTATGGGATATTCTCCCACAGGCCATAGGCATATCTCTGTCCACAGTCTTTTTATAATACTTTAGGTAGAGATTTGTCACTCCCACTACTACACTGTGGGGCTACTTATGAGAAATTCAGCTTCTTTATGATCTGCAAATTGTCATCTCGAGTCTGGTACAATGTGGTTACCTGCTGAATGTTTGTTAAATGACTGAATTACACAAACAAATAAATCCAAGACAGCACATATTAACAGTGTACTTTTCCTATCAATTATTTCATGAAATTTACATAAGAAAAGTGTTAATGGTTACATACCAAGATAAACTTTTGAGTCCGTTATAAGAAGAGTTGAATTTGATAGCCTGACTTACACCAATATATGCATAGGAATTCATTGGCAACCTCTAAGTTTTTACATGAAAATCAGAGAATACATCTGTACTGTTTAACAAAATACTTGGGGATTTTTTTTTTTTTTTTAAGAGACAGGGTCTCGCTACGTTGCCCAGGCTGGTCTCAAACTCCTGGCCTGAAATGATCCTCCCACCTCGCCCTCCTGAGTCGCTGGGACTACAGGCAAAATCCATGCCTGGCTTCATGAGAAATTTTTAAAGAAGCACAGTAAAATCAATAAACAGTCCAGATCTGTGGAAAGGTGCATGACTGGATGCTAAAGAAAACAAAGAAAAAGAAATCTTTGATGATACATATAAGTATTCTAATTAGACGTCCAGATTTTTCTTTTCAACCTTATTCATAGAATTTAGATTAAAGCTACCGAATATAACTTAAATAGGACTGAGATGGTTTATCCCAGAAGGGAAAAAAAAAAAGGAGAGAAAAAAAGACAAAGAGAAACAGATGGTGCCAAGAGATAATTTAATGAGGATTTTTCAAGTAGTTTGGGGAAAATAACACAGGCCTAAGAACCCTGACCTCCTGGCTGCCTGACACTAACAAATTCACTGTTCACAACTAAGAAACTTCACCTTCTTTTTCCTCAGTAATAAAATGAAGCTGTTGTAGAGTTAAGTCACCAATGTCCTCCTGATGTTAAAATTCTGTGATTTTAAATATTCATGTTTATAGTAAAGGAGAAGAGTAGTGGCATCAGCTATACATAATTCATTTTAAATTGGTTTTGAATACTCTCAGTGACTTAAGTTTAAGTAAGAGAGGAAAGATTCAGTTTAGCACAATGCTAAGAAAGGTTCTGATTTTTCAGGAAAAGCCTTTTGGCAAAAGAAGACTATTTTTTATCTGTCACCTATGATTTTCAATAACTTGAAAAATATTATACATAAACTAAGACCCTGCCCCATGCTTAAGGTGTCCTACAGTGAGGCTCTCTTTTTCTGTATGTATGACTGTGTAAAATGCGAACACATTATCCTTTTCTGACACTGAATAAATAATAAGGCAGTAAATGCATACAACTGCCACTCTAATTGCAAATGGGTCTAATGAGATGCTTGCTTGGTTTTCCTTGTCTTGTATATGACTTTCCATTCACTTTTCCCATAATAACTCTTCCACATACTGGGAAATAAACAAGCATATTTGGTGGACAACCTGGACACAGAGGTGGAAGAATCCAACCTTTAGGTTCCTCCATGGACTCAGCAGAGCTCTGCATGTCTGCTTGCATGTTTCTGTAAACAACATGTCATAGAAAAACTGGCCAGAGGCAAGGGGTCCAGAGATCTGGTTTAATTTTTAATCTGAAAAGTATTTCATAACTAATATTTCATCATTAGTAAAATAAAAGAGCTTATCAACTGATTTCTAAAGCCTCTTTCTGCTCTAACATCCTCTGATTCTCTGATCTGGTTTAGAAGACAAGGATACAGAATCAGAATTGTGAGTGACCTGAATAAATGTTTAAGATCTTAGAACATAATAGTGATGTTCAGAAAGAATACTGACCTGACTAGACAGAAGGACTCAGCAGGGATACAAAAGAAGACAAGAAGAGAAGGGGTAACATCTTTTTAGCTGAAGGACTTATGGCCCTTGATTAGGGCCGAAGGGCTTAAGATCTTTTTTTTTTTCTGCAAAGTATCTGAAAATGATTAAAATTATTTTGACAGCTGCAAGTAATTGGGAAGTAGGTGAAAACAGGAAGTTCAGGCACAGAATAACCTCACTAGTTCCAGATTCCACCAATAATTCAGTGTTCATAGTAATTTCAACATGAGTAGCTGATGTTTATTATTATATTACATATTCATTTTCAAGCAATAGAGAATAAAACTATAACTATCCTTTTCAAGTAAGACCCATTAGAATAGTAGACATTTTACCTTTATTTGCTGTTATTTTTTCATTGACAAAATGTAAATAAGAACTTCTCAGGGAGAACAGTTATTCCACTAAAGATCTTGGTTCTATCTTTTATCACCTTGCAGATAACCTGTCACTATGAGGTAAAGTATACTTGTAGATGAGTGTTCATATATTCAGAAAAAAAGTGTCCTTTAATACCTACTTTAGTATCAATCATAACAAACTATACTTTTATAGTCCTTTACAGTTTATATACAAATAACTTATACATCCAATTCACATGTACTTTGTCGGTGAACAAGTGAGGTGCTGATTTAAAATTACTAGTATCTATTCATTAGAAGATCTAGTGACCTTTTTGTAGCCTTAGTTTATCTTACATGCACAATGCTTAAAATGCATTAACTTACAAAACATTAAACTTTTTTGGTGATTTAGTATGGTCTTCTTTCAATGTTCTGAATTTCTGAAGAGTTATTTCATAAGAAAAATAAATCACTTAACATGGTAGTTCTTGTGAGTGTGATTCAAGACAGTAGGATAAACACACTAGTATCTTGAAATTTACTTTTAAATCCTTTATACAACCTATCCTCCTACCCTCCATAAACCTGCATTAATAAAAGTAACTAAGATAATTAAGACAGTTTTTAGTCAGTATTCATGCTTAGTTCTTTCACTTTTGCTTTAGAATCTTGAAAACACACTGGGTAAATTTTTTGTTTAAAAATTTAAAGTGCCCACTATTAAATGCCACTCCTAATGAGCATAATTTTGTGACTACTTTATTAGTTATTCAATGATGGAATAAAAACTACCATACTTACAACTAGTCCATCTCTTCCATACCACAAATTTATGAATGAAGAATACTAGCCCTTGACTCAAAGCAACAAACTTAGGAATACACATTAAGCAGCTATCTAAATGGATACATAATTAGCAGTATATGTAGGCAAACAAAAAATAGAGAGGTTATTAGCTTTTCCTCAGGGGCCACCAAACACACACGCACACACACACACCACAATACAAAAAGAGCAAAAACCAACAAAAACTCTTCTGATCTAAAAGTAGTTGCCTTTAATTAAAAAAAAAAAAACACACACACACACAAAACTATCTTTTTACAAAAAAAAATACATGAGATAGAACGGCGTATTTTATTCTGTGTATTTTGTTTTTCATTGTTTATTTAAAAATCAATATTTTTCTAAACTGAAACACACTAAATGTTATAGTAGAGTTAATAAAAGTAATTATAGGAAATATAAATGAATGAATGAATAAATGAATGAACGTAGTTGCCAAAGTACGGACAGAAGCCAGCAAATCATCCCCATATTAAATGCATCAGAGAATACAACACAGCCATTCGAAAAATAAAAACAAGGCCAGGATTCATTAAAAATTCCCATAAGGCAGAAAGAACAACAACCCTGTATTATCGATATGCAAAATATACCTGATATTTATTGTGTGGGGCAGAAAGTATTTCCATCATCTTTTCTTTCAGAGTTTTTTTTAATGAATCTGAACAGAAACAAAATATAACCAGAGTATATTAATATTTTCTGGGCTGGTGTTTCACTAGGAATATACAAAATAATTTTACACATTTTTAACTTCAGAACTCAAAAATTAAAAAATGCTAGGAGCTTAATTTCTCATTCTGAATTTAAATTAATGTATACAATATCACTATATATTTGATGAAAATATATATGTGATACTACTGCACTACAGAATTAAAATAACTTTCACAAGATTTCAACAAAACATAGATTAGTAAGTAATCTATGTAAGATAAAACAAATATTGAAAATTCATGGATGCATTTTTCTGTTAGGCTTCCATTCCCTATTGTGACGAAAATAACTGAAAGCAAACCAACACAAAAATCACTGTGACAAATACTGCTCATTCAACACTTTGTGTAAGAAAATAAAATTAAAAAAAAAATCTCTTAAAATGTGGCTTCTGAATAGTCACATTATTTAAAGCAATTTTTTTCTGAATTTTAAAAAACAGGTATGCAACTTACTGTTTATACGTCAACTTCTTGCAGGATAAAAATATGTTTAAAAACAATTTGTTCTTTTTTTCTGCATATCCAGTAAGATACCGCAATGTTAACTTAAGGATAGTTTTTTTTTAATACTAAAAAGGGAAGTTTCATATCTGTTCATCTATTTTTTTCTTATTTCTCTAAAATTTAAAATGGAAATAAGAATACATAAAAAGCAAAACAAAACAACTTAGATTTTAAAAAAGAGTTGCATACCCATTTGCCATTGATTCTGTAAATAAAGAATAAACACTAAAATTTTATAGAGATTCCTTTGTCAATTGTGAATGCCTTATTTTACCTCTTAAAACTTTTCTGCACTTTAATTTATTTTATTTTATTTTATTTTTTTTTTTTTTTTGAGACAGAGTTTCACTCTTGTTGCCCAGGCTGAAGCTCAATGGCACGATCTCGGCTCACCGCAACCTCTACCTGCCGGGTTCAAGCGATTCTCCTGCCTCAGCCTCCTGAGTAGCTGGGATTACAGGAGAATGCCACCATGTCCGACTAATTTTTGTATTATTAGTAGAGATGGGGTTTCACCATGTTGGCTAGGCTGGTCTTGAAATCCTGATGGTGATCTGCTCACCTCGGCCTCTCAAACTGCTGGGATTACAGGTGTGAGCCACCATGCCCGGCCTGCACTTTTAAAATTGCTACACAAACTATTTTTTTAAGTTTATATCATATCAATTAATATGCTGATTTTCTTTTCACTAAATGATGCTCATTTAAAATAAATGGAGTTTTATTTCACACTCAATTTTTGGAAGAAAGCGAAAGATAAAAATGTACTCATATGGCCGGAACATTGCTAGGTCCAAGGGACAATACACATTTAGTTGAATCTTCCTATCTGATCTGTATTGCCAGTACTGGAAGAGAACTGATGTTTCCAATGATGAACATTTTTACCAATGAAGTCAAGCAATTAATACAGTTTGAAATGCTTTTCAATAATATAATTTGAAACAAGAAGTTTCTTTAATTGATTTTCCTTCATTTTTCTAGGAAAAAAATTAGCAGAGATTTCAATAAAAACTCAAATTCAGTGGAATGATTTAAATACAGAGACCAGAAGCCATATGGGTAGAGAAGGTAATAAGCTTTCTATTTAACATTGCCACCTAAATTCACCAGAATATTTCATTTCCTGACTATTCCACTTAATTGAGTTTTGCTGCTTTGATGTTCTGTCTTTGAATAAAATGAATTAACTATGGAAACAGCAGCCTTTCAAAGAGCATTCAAAATATACTGCATAAGAGAAATAAAAATGCCTGTTAAAAATATCTTGTAATATGCTAAACTAAATTTCCTTAAAGGAAATCTTAAAAGCGGATCATTAGTGATTTATGTCACTTCTATTTTTATTTCCTTAGTGTTACATAAAATCATTAATATAGTTAATTTTCAACTATGAAGTCTTTGTATAGAAAGATGGTGCTACTAATTCACCATTAGTAAGGTAAATACTCTAACTTGTTTTCCTAGAAGTTGTAACTTACCATTACACACATAACTCCAGAAACATAATCCTTACTTTACTAGGCAACGACAAAGGCCAAGTAGCTAGGTAACTTACCAAAGGTCATCCAGGTATTTAACTATAAAATCCAGGCCTGGTGCAGTGGCTCATGCCTGTAATCCCAGCACTTTGGGAGGCCTAGGTGGGCGGATCACGAGGTCAGGAGATGGAGACCATCCTGGCTAACATGGTGAAACCCCATTTCTACTACAAATACAAAAAATTAGACTGGCGTGGTGGCACGCACCTGTAGTCCTAGCTACTCAGGAGGCTAAGGCAGGAGAATCACTTGAACCCGGGAGGCAGAGGTTGCAGTAAGCCGAGATTGCACCACTGCACTCCAGCCTGGGCAACAGAGCGAGACTCCGTCTCAAAAACAAAACAAACAAACAAACAAAAAATCCAAATTTTATAGACCTGAACTCAGGTCTACACCATTCCAAATTGGGAAAATACATAGTTTCTTCATCTTCCTGAGATGGGTGTTCACACTGTGGCATCATTAAAGTCTCTAAAGTAATTTTCTATCTGGTGAAACACAGACTCAAAGGTAAAGTAAAATTATACATTATAAAACCCAAATGAATTGTTTTTACTATTCTCTTCCAATAATACAATTAATCAATAATTGCCAATGGTTTCAACCCATGGAAACTACCTTAATTTTCATTAAGGTTATTAAAGAAGTTCAAACAAAAAAGAAAGAAATATTAAATTCTGTGAACTTTCTAGAAGAGGGTTGTTGCTTTTTAGCTTGAAAGGGAAAGGTTATTTATTCAATGTAATGCCTTTGTGATTAAAGATCAAATCCATATCTTAAAAAACAAGTCAGAGGTGAGTTCCTCAACTTCTATACCTTTAATAATAAGTTCGCTCTTCTTTGTTAGTGGGGGTTTTCTACTCTAACTTGCTAAATCTATTCTAAGATTAGTCCTTTTTAATTCAAAGGTGATAGCTTTTTTGTCTATTCTACAAGCCAGTGGCTGGAAATTCACAGTCAAACTGGACCCAGAGAATAGTACCTGGGGCACACTGATTACAGCAGTCACCTGAGCCTGGGAGGGAGGATATCAGTGGCACAGGCTCAAGCATGACTTAATGAAGGCTTCCAGCTCGCATCCCATCGTCAGTGATTTTTAACCTCTTGGCATGCATGGAGGAAAGGGGAGTCATGCTAAAGTAGAGAGAAAACTGAATTTTGAGTCAACAGATTTGCATTCAAGTTCCTTCTATCTTTTACTACCTTGTCACTTTGGACACATAACCTTTCTTAGCCTCATTTTTTTAAATCCATAATGTTAAATTAAGGGCCTAATTCAGTGCATGGCACATAACAGATAATGAATTTCAGCTGAATTTAAAAGAAGACAAGGACAGAATCTTAGCACTGCTCTCTAGGCAGGAATGATGAATGAATACAATAAATATAACATTAAGAAGAGAGCAACCTGGAGTGAAGAAGCTGGCTGTCATGGCAAGTTCTTGATGATAGGTGGAAACTGTCCCCCACTTTCCCCGGCGCCCCCCTACCTCCAGGAAAAGCAAGGAAACATGGCAACAGAAAGAGGGCCAAACTGAAAAGAGATTTTCTGGGGCAAACCAGACAATCTAGTAGGCCAGGGAGATGACCCATTTTTGCTTGATGACTAAAAGAGAATGCCGACTTCACTGATTTTGCTACTGAATGAGTCACAAGGGTGGGTAACTTGAGAAAGTATGTGAGGGAGTGGAAAAATGTAGGTAATTCATGGATGCTGTAGAACTTACTTTAATTAAAAAATTCCTTACTCTGAATGTTTTGTTAACTTTAAGTATCCACAGTAACTGATACATCCCCCTATGAAACTCCCATCATCTTACTCTTTTCAAAGGCTGAAACGCCTGTGACGGAGTTTCCCTGTTGTGAACTCCAGGCAGGGAGTGAAATACAACATAGCACTTAAATCTGCTTCTGGGCGTCAAATCTCGGAAGGATACCTAGAGAAAAAGTTTAATTTTATGGCCAGTCTTGGACTCTGGATTTCCCATAGGGCCAAATTCTGGTACCACTCTGTGGTGAAACTCAACGTGGATCACGCCCCAAATTGCACTGATGATCTGAGGAAACAAAAGTGCCTGCAGGAGTGGTCTTGGGCCAGCCCTACATTGCAGGAGATATACTGTGACATTTCTATGAAACTGGTATTCATTACGGATGCTGTTCACCAAGGCATTTGTCACTGGTCACTCAGTGATGGGGTGGGAAGTCAATTCAACCTGGTGAATGACTGGGGAAGGAAACAGACTGCCAAGTAACATCCTAGCCTTTAACATATTCATTGACTTTGTATACCAACTTTGTAAAGAAGATGTGATTTAAAAAAAAAAAAAAAAAGGTTCTGAAAGATTCAACAACTTGCCTGAGGACATAAAACTAAAACTTGGCAGAGCTATGAGGCATTCTGACTCCAAAGCCAACTACAGTATATTGAACAGAGGCAAAAAGTTCAACAGAAAACTTAAGTAAAATAACACTCTGTTAAGAAAAGTTGTTAAAAGCATAGGGGAATATCAGACAGATGTAAAAATGGGCCATAAATAGCTAGACTAAAAATAAAACCTCCCTAAAACTTAATTGAAAAGAAAACTTTTTGGAGGGGGTGGGTGTCTTTTATATTCTTTTTATATATAATTTTATCCAGGTTGGTTATTTGGCTTTCAAGTCCACAGAAAAATTAGATGAAGCAACTTTAATGAGAGGAAGGCAGAATTATTACAGTAAGAAGCTAACAACAGCAAATAATACTATAAAAAACAATCACTACTCAGAGAACTTATTCTAAAGACACACTGATCTAGAGCTATTTAATGTATGAGCAAACTGCTCTATATATGATGATCATATGTAATGAAACACAGTTTCATGTATTTTTAGTCATTTCAGTGAGGTGGTTGTTAAAAATATATGATTAAATAATTTACCATTTCTATAATACTTACGTAGACCAGGCTTCCTAATTTTTTTGTTGTTGCTAAAAAAATATGGTTGCCTTCTTTCTTATATTCTGAGGATGTTAAAAGGAACACAGTATTCCAGGACAAAATAATAACTGCACTAACCCTAAAATATCAAGAAGGCATTCTACTGTGTAGCCTTCTCCAAGTTTCACACTTCCCCAGCCTTGCAATTTTACTTGTTCTCATATGATCCGTATCATAGTCTGCCATTCCTTACCAATAGGACTTCTTGACGGTAGGGACCGTGTCTTCTTTGTGTTTGTAACTTCAGAGTATCTAGCATAGTGCCTTTCTATATAAGATAAACCAGTAAATATGAGTTAAAGTAATAACATTCATGTTTAGTAAACTCTTTTAGAATACAGGAATGCATGTGGAAACACAGCCATATAAAATGTCTAAAATAAAACTTCTGGGGCTTGAAAAGGCCAACTATTTTATCCATTTATCAAATAATTGATTACCTACTATATTTCAGGCACTGTTTTAAGTTCAAGGATTAGAATAGTGGGCATGGACATGAAATACCAGTTTTTGTATTAAAGGTCCTTACAATCGCATGGTGGAAGACAGACAAACAAGATATATAATAAACAAGGAAATACAAAATGAGATTTCAGCTAATAAGTGCAAATATGAAAATAATGTAGGATAATGGGATAGACAGTACTTGGGTGGATGGACTATTATCATTTTTCTGCTTATATAGGGTATTTTCTTATACACAAAGGAAGAGGTATAACTTCTATAGATTGTTCAGAGGTGAAAACATAGAAGGCATCGGCTTCTTAAAAGCAGCTGTGAGATCTCCAGGGATGGCAGGGCTACTGTAGGAGCTAACCTTCCAGATTGTCCCCAGTGACCTCTAGCACCTGGTACTCACATCCTGTGTACTCCCCTTCTACATGGTACCATAATGGGGCTGGCTGACTAACAGCCTATGTCCCAAGTGGTGTTATGTCACCACCAAGATGAGGTTATAAAAAAGTCTGTGGCTTCCATGTTGGGCTCCTCCTGTCTGGGATTCCTCATTCTGTGGGAAGCCAGCTGCCATGTTATGAGGACATGTAGGCAACCCGAGGAGGGGCGCACACAGAGAGAAACAGGTATCTGGACAACAGTGAGGAACAGCCACGTGAATGAGCTTGGGAGTGGATCCTCCCTGGAGACTGCAGCTTGATTACAACTTCCTGAGAAACCTAGGACTAGAACCATCCAGATAAGCTGCTTCTGGATTCATGACTCTCAGGAAACTGTGTGAAATATGAAGTGTTTATGTTTGTTGATTTAAGGTGCTAGGTTTTTGGAGTTATTTGTTACATGACAAATAACTAGTCAACTTTTCAGGAAAAAGCCTTTCTAAATAGTTGAAATCTGAGCAGAGGCCTGAATAAAGAGGAACCAGTGATGAACAGACATCAAGGAAGTACATTCCAGACAAAAATAAGGGCAGTTATAAAGATCATGAGAAAGGCGTGAGCTTGAGAACAGCTAAAAAGCCCACATCACAGCAATCTTGTTACAGAAGTATAACAAAGTAGTAAGAGAAGAGTTAAAATTTCCTTCAAAGAGAGATGGGAAGTAACATTACTTAATTTATATGTTACAAAGAATCATCTTTGTAACCTACTGGGCTACTATGTGGAAGATTGGGGTGAAAGCAGGAAAACCAAGTGACAACCTACTACATTAGTGAAGCCAAGAGATATAGCTGTCATATCTAGTAACGCAGACAAGGACATTAGAAATATTACAACTTGGGAAGATCCTAGATATGTATTTGGAAAACAGTAAACACAATTATATGAAAAACTTATCCATGTGGCCCACATCATGCCAATAGGTTCTGTTTTTTGAGTGACCCAGTTACCACTGGAATAGTCCCAGACAGAGAGGAAATTAGATGTGATCTAGTGAGACATAAATCAAAATTCAAGAAATAATTTGTAGGTGTTATAGTTAAAAATTATAACTCTTGTCATTAAAATGCTGTGGAGCCTAGAAAGGAGGACTTTTATGAAAGAATTAAGTAGTCAGTAGAAATGTTCCTTTTGTTCTGATTGATGCCAACCAGACTGTTAAAGTAAGTGCTTAAGCAATCAACCAGTGAAGTTAAAAAAAAAATTAATAAAACAGAGATGAGAAAAAACAAAAATAAAACTAATATTCTTTCCACATAAACATATTTCTAAAGGGACAAAGTTAATGACAAGAAGTATTTCTTTAAGTTAGAAAACAAATACACTGGTAATTGGCGGACATTCACTAGTTTTTTTTTTTTTTTTTTTTTTTTTTTTGAGACGGAGTCTCGCTCTGTCGCCCAGGCTGGAGTGCAGTGGCGGGATCTCGGCTCACTGCAAGCTCCGCCTCCCGGGTTCACGCCATTCTCCTGCCTCAGCCTCCCAAGTAGCTGGGACTACAGGCACCCGCCACTACGCCCGGCTAATTTTTTTTGTATTTTTAGTAGAGACGGGGTTTCACCGTTTTAGCCGGGATGGTCTCGATCTCCTGACCTCGTGATCCGCCTGCCTCGGCCTCCCAAAGTGCTGGGATTACAGCATTCACTAGTTTTATAGAGCCTTTAGAGCTTCATTTATCAGGCCTTAACAAGAATCTACAAGTTCCTACTCTGGAAATATTCTGAGCAAGCCCTGTTCACAAAAAGATCATGTCAAAACACACCTGCTTTTCTCATTGCTTCTTCTATCATATGCATAAAAAGCATGTCAAGACGACTCATGGGAAACAGCCACTGACAAATCAAGTCTATGTTTGGTGGACCTAAAGACCAGTTTTCAGTTTCTGACATTCTTAAGGGGACATAGAGAATCAAATTTTAAAAGATGAAATATAAACAAATTGCTATTTGGTGATCTTCTAAAGGCCAATATAATAAGTGACTAGTCACTTGCTCACTCTCACATATACACAAACATACATATATAATAATATACACATACATACATATATACACACACAAACCTCACATTAAATGGAAGAAATTAATGAATGTGCAACTTGAAAAGAGTGTTTAAAAGAAATGCTTACAATCAGATACATTCTTAAAAACAGAGAGACGACATCTGCCTTTATAAATTTTCCACAACCTTTTCCCAAAGTCTTGGGTATGAACATTTATAGTTGCCACAGTAGGTGCTAAATCATTAAATATTACTGACATATTTTTCACTTAATTTTTAAATAAAAGAATCTAAGTGAATATGGTAATTTTTTAAAAGTAAAGCATTACATATGTTCACCAGAAGTTTACATAAAATTTAAAATGCTCAAGCCTATCTGTGGGGCCATGCTCTAACTTGTTCTGTTTTTTGTTTGTTTGTTTTGTTTCTTTGTTTTTAATCCACATAAATTAGTACCTAAAAAAATAAATCCTGGCCGGGCATGGTGGCTCACGCCTGTAATCCCAGCACTTTGGGAGGCCAAGGCGGGAGGATCACGAGGTCAAGAGATTGAGACCATCCTGGCCAACATGGTGAAACTCCGTCTCTACTAAAAATACAAAATTAGCTGGGCGTCGTGGCGCACACCTGTAGTCCCAGCTACTCAGGAGGCTGAGGCAGAAGAATTGCTTGAACCTGGGAGGCAGAGGTTGCAGTGAGCCAAGATTGCACCACTACACTCCAGCCTGGGCAACAGAGTGAGACTCCATCTCAATCAATCAATCAATCAATCAATCAATAAAATGGTTAATCATATCATCTTTTGCTGCTAAAATCAACATATTAAATGTCAAAATACTTAAGTAAAAATGTTCTACTTGTTCTATGTCACTGAAAGAATAGTCATAAAAATCCAGTATGAAAGTTTTTAACAGACTACTTTATTTACATTCTATTACTTGATAGCAGCACTTGAATAACCAAATTTATATTATCCCAGAAAGTTATGGACACTAGGTGCTTCAGGAAGTTTGCTGAATTAAAGGACAGATTTACTTATTGCCTTTTGTTTAGAATTTATGCTAAGTGCTTATTCATTATTAACTCATACCCTCCGCCTAAAAGTACACAAATGTGACTAAAATTATGTTGATGTTAATATTTTAAAAGTCTGTATCACTATAAAATGATTCTTCAAATAAGGAAGTTTTCTTCTTTTATTTCACACTGTACCTATTTTGAAGTTGACTGTGGTAGATGAACTCATCATGCCAAATTCTTCATCCCTCACTACTGTAATGATACATCCACATTCTGCCATGCATTCTGCAGTGCTTACCACTCGGAGGGGCAGAGCATTCTTCACCATCCCATTAACGTTTGGCCAATGGAATGTGGACAGAAATAATGGTGTGCCTGTTCCCAAGTGTTAACACTTGCCCTTTTGTGGTTCCTATGACCCACCATCTGAAGAGCATCTCCAGGTAATGCAATCCTTTCAGCCCAGGTTGTAAAATGGAGGCATGTGGAGCTGACCTGAAACTGATCAAAGACCTGGTGTCCAGGCCCAGGCAAATCAGCCCCAGCCAAGCCCTGCCCACCATCACCAAACCACAGCCAAACTGCAGACCTGTGAACACAATTATATTCATTATTCCAAGTTTGTTGTTGTAGGCCACTAAGATTCTGAAATTGACACACAACAAAAACTAATATATTGACTCTATATCTTTATATGGCTACTCATGTAACACGAGTTGCATCAAACTAAACCTTTTAAATTTACCTCTCCTCAACTAATAATAATTTTCTTTGGCTATATTGTATTTCAGAAAACAGAATGAGAATTTTTTTAATAAAGATTTAAGTTGTCACAGAAAGAAATTCATTCTATTGCTAAGGCCTTATTTCCAAAAATAAACTATAATATACAGAATAAGCTACACTTAAACTCAACTTATAATTTGGTATCCTTAAATGTTTCTACAATTTACAGTCTTTCAAATGAACTGAATGTAACACACCTCCCTAAAATGTATGATATACTCTAGATATATTTATTTATTTATTTATTTATTTTTGAGCAGTTTACCTCCAAACTTCACAAGTATAACTAGTATTGGGAGGTGAAACCAGTATGAATCTTGAATTTAAAAAATGTCACTAGGTACAACTTACTACTTTTGAATACCAATATTTTTAGGGTCTCCCTCAATTACTAGATAGGAATCCCCTGTTAATTATTTGAATATAATGAATAGACCTTTCCTTTTTATGTTCTTAAGTAATTTAGAACATTGTTATTTTAATAAAAAATTAAATAGGACATATTTTTGTTTACACAAATATTTTGTTAATTTTTTCTATCATAATTTGTATGGTAGCAAACTTTAAATTATCACAAGTAATAAAAGTAAAATCAATTACATTTTTATACATCAAAGATCACCACTGCCCTTTTGCCATTTATCTATAATAAAGCAAGACTACTGAGAAAACAATGTATGTAATAAATTGCTGAATATGAGTCACTATATGTAATTCTTATTCTCATCACTGTTCACTTCAGCTAGCACATCAGAATTTAAAAATCATAAAATTTTAACTTAGAAACACTTTTACAGCTAGTTTAACGACTCACTAGATATTTACATTAACTCTGTAATATTCCTCTCAACTGCTCAGTTATATTCTGAATTTTTCCAGTGGTAGAATTTCTCAACCAGCATTTTTCCAGAGGTAGCATTTCTAAACCAGGGTTTTGTTAACTTGTTTCAGGAAACTGATTTAACAAAAGGTAATTGGTGGGTCTGTTGTTATTGTATTTTTATAAATAAATAATCATTTTTAAAATGACCCCTTTAGAATATAGAAAGAGAAAAAGCACATGCCCAGTAAGCATGAATAATGGTTAACAAAGAACAGACAAGCCAGCTTATACGTCTAAGCAGTCCTCTGTGCAGCTTATCCCCTGGCTTAACAATGCTACAAATGCTTGTGTTTTGAACATTTAAGTTTCAGTTGTTTTTACTTTTGGTCATATTTTAAAATTTGTACTAACAGATCAGGAATTATAGTTGGGTTGTATGAGGATATTAAGTAACACTAGGAAAGGAGCAATAATAAATTTTGTAAATGCACTCAAAATAGTCCTTATGTTGCATTAGCTTAAAATAGTCATCAATCATATCAAAAAGCTGCTAGTCCCTTAAAAAAAAGAGTTAAAAGAACTAGAGCATTCATAGTGGCAGCAATCAATATCCAAATATCCATCAGCAGTAAATTGGGTAAGTTTTGATAGGCTTACACAATGGTAATAACATAGTAATAGAAATGAGCAATCTACAACTACATGTAACAGTCTGGATGGATCTCACAATGTTAAGCAAAAGAAGCCAGACACAAGAGCATATATTGTTTGATTTTATTTACACAAAGTACAAAAACAGGTGAAACTAAACCATGGTGCTTATTCTTTGAGGTTGGAAGACAATTTTTGAATGAGATGAGTGCAAGAGAGCTTCTGGGGTGCTGGTCTTGCCATGTGTTTTGATCTCATTGCTGGTTATACAGTTGTGTTTGTGAAGTCTCATCAAGCTGTTTGCTTATAATTTGTGCACTTTTATGTATGTAAGTTACAATTCAAAGTTGAATAAGTAAAATGTCAAAAACAATTTTATTTTATCTAAATTGTTATATTTGGTTGCGCTATACACATGCCCAATACTTTGTTCAGGGTTTTAATCTTTTTATCTTATCATTTAGATAACTAAAAATACAAAATTTAAAAAAGGGAAAGATTTCTTAGGTATAAAATATAAGAACTCAATATATTAAATGTAATAGTAATTTCTGTCTAGTTTTAAAGCTACAATAAAATATATCATTAATTTTACACTATATTTTAATATATACCTGCTCCAAAATCAAACACAATGTCATTTTGAACATGCTGAAATTGTTTTCTTAAATAGATATTTCAGAGAAAATTGTCAGTCACTTAAAGTAAAAAAAAATCTTTGTCATGAATATTAAGTTTAAAATTAATCTCTAAAATTACCTTTGTATTATTGTTGCTAATACATGATGCTAAATTTTCCTTTACATAAAATCTCTTTTCTGTCATGTGCTACGTAAAAATGAGGAAAAACTAATTCCTATGGAAGTATATAATAACAAAAAGTTTCAAGAATTAGAAGAACAGTTGGGTAACATTTTAATAATGGAGAAAAAAAATATGATTAGAGCTGCGGAGATCTTCTGACAAATTCCAGACCTGCCATTAACAAGCTGGGAGACTTCTGTCAGGTCACTGCTGTCCAACAGAAACGCACTCTGAAATGTCTGTAACTCTTAAATATCTGGTAGCCCCATTTTAAAAAGTAGAAAGTAATTGTGCACTGTAATATATCAATAATATCTTGTAAGACACAACACAATTAAAATGAGAGTTGTGTTTAACAGAAAAATACTTCCTGATGCTATAGTTTTAAAATTGATATTTAAATTCATGAAAATTAAATAAAATTTAAGATTCAGCTCCTCAGTCACACTGGGAGCCACATTTCTACACAGGACCCTAGTGGCCACCGTATTAGACAGCGCAGTCGCCAAGTCATTCCATCTCTTTAAGGCTTACTTTCTTCATTGATAAACTAAAAATGTTAGTCAAGATAAAGAATTTCAAACTTAGGTGCTTCTATAGGCCAGGCCATTAACATAAATGACCAAATCAATGGCAGTGGGAGTTTTGGCCAACTGAAGCCCACACGCCCCATTCCAAATAGGCAGCAAGTCACTCACCTGACACAGAAATGCAGGTCCAGTGTTGCAATAGGACTTTCCCCACAACGTTGGAAATCTAGATGTTTATATAAAATATTTTTCTTTTTCCATACATAAACTACTGTGAAATTTTTCAAAGCACTGTGTGGGCTAAACCAAAACATACCTATATGCTGGTATGTGCAACCTGGGCTCTAAGAACTTTCTTTACTGCTTTTACCAAGCTCTGATTTATTTATAGGAGTGATTTGACTTTGACACCTGGAATCTAAAACACACAGCTGGAGACTCAGTTGAGTAGTGAGCATCAAACCACCCCACTGTGAAGTCAAGACAAGCTAAAGATGCTACCAGGTAGCAGCCTGTGGTGAATGTTAGCAGGATTCCAGCATGAGATGAAGTCCTACTTACACCCCAGAATGCAGACAAGTCTGAAAAGAAATCATACTAAGGGAAGGGACAGCCCAATCCCCTAATTCTGGATCAAGGACAATGTGCCAGAGATATTAACAAAGAGAAAGGGTAGTGAAGCTGAATTCTCCCCAGTGACTATCACCCTTGTCACCCTGGGACCCAATCCTTATGGAGCCTGCCTAGATCCTCCAGCACATGTGAGACTGACAGCGGAAAGCTGCAGAGGTGAAGCAGAAATTAGTAGCATGAGCAGCCATCAGCATCTTCCATGGACATAGTAGGCAGGGTTGGGAAGGGGGTAAGGGGTAGCAGATGGACTGGGAATATTCTTAGCTGTTTGGCAGAATCTAAAAAAAGGTAGAGTGCCCTCAGAGGTGGCAAAGTCAGAAACTCAGTTTTGTAAGTCCTGTTAAACCTATGTTTAGCTCCAGGATAAGGAAGCCTTGGAAACAGGATTGTGTGAGTAAGAGCCCGGAGTTAGGATTCAAGTAAACTGAGCATTAATCCCACATGTGTCACTGTCTTGCTGTGTGACTTCTGCTTCCTTAAATTTAAAATGGTAATAACACAGTATAATGGTAATAACACAGAGTTATTACTCTGTAACACAGGGTTGTTTTCAGCATCAAATAATATCATGAATACAAGGCAATTCAGAAAGTACACATTTCTCATGTAATTGCAAGACCTTTTTATTTTACTAAGAAATTACTAATGGATTCTAGGAATGCAATTTATTAAAAGCCATTTAAGTCTCCAATCAGAATTATTCTTTAATTTGGAGATGGGAGGGTAAGAGGGTTAATAGTCAGGGCTTAAGGGGAACAGCAGCAAACACACTGACTACTCCATTACAAACTCTGCCACTTACAGTCATGTCTAGAGGGGGTTCATGGAGTGGGACTAAGGGAGGTCAAATTCCAAGATGGACTTGAAAAGACCTCAGGAGGAATTTGCCCTAAAGCAGTGGTTCTTAACCTTTTTCAGGTCAATGATGTTTTGAGGAACTGATTAACGCTATGGCTTCTGTCTTGGAAAAAGACACATATACAAAATTGACATATATCTTCAGGACGTTCATGAACCACCCCCGCCAAGGATCCCAACTTGAAAATGCTACCCTTAAGGAAGACAGGATCACAGGAAAAACATTCAGTGTGGTCTTAGGCAATGAGCTGGTGCTGGATAGGAGGCAGTTCTAAGAACAGCTGGAAGCCAACAGTAAAGACAAAGCCGACTTTCTTTAAAGCTCAGCCCCTCCTCAAAATATTGTTACTGTGAGACCCTTAGATGAAGACATCTTAGAGTCTCCCTATAAAGGGCCACATATGTACTCACAAATACTACCATTCTAGGTAACTAGTAGCTTCTGCTCCCTTGGACAGTTTCAACATAAGGGAGCATACTCTAGGCTCAGTTCACATGGACCCTGCTCGAACTCAGTGCAAAAGATACGAGAGAAAGAACAGTATGTAAGTCTCTCTAAGAACGACAAGGCACTTTATCAATACATTATAGAACATGCAGGGAATTTTCCTCATTTTGGTTTTGTCAAAGAGAAAGTAGAGAAGAGAATACATGTTACAGAGAGGGTGACGGTGTCAATATGAATACCACCAAGAGCAGGAGTTCACAGCAACTTAGAATGCCAGTGAACATCATGGCAGAAACCTGGCACCCATACACACAGCAATGGGGCAGGAAGAGAAACACTGGTTCTACAGAAATTCAACAACAACTTCTCACTGACAAGAGCAGAACAATCTTTAATTCTTGAATGAAATACAGCCTCAAACACATTTTGACAAAATATAATCTATCCACTTCCCAATCCAATCTCTTATAGAAATATGTTTTGGAAAGTACAATGGAAGTCAAATAAAAAGAATATTTTTCTCATGTATTTGTAATAACTAAACTATGTTTAGGTGAATGAAGACATACTATGAATGTGGAATTATAACTGTTCAGAACACACTTAATGACCTTTTCATAACGTATTCTTATATTCTACTTTTGACTTTATTAATATCACAAAAGAATACTCATATATTGCAATTTTTAAATGACTTTCAAAGTAGGAGTGAATGAACAAGTTGAAATTACCAGTTACAATTAATGCTTTCTTTAAATCAAAAATATCTTACTAAGACCAGTAAAAGTATCAAAAAAATCTCCTATCAAATAAAACTTCACCAAGGACTGCAGTCTATAAAGTCAAAAGAACATGCTGCAGTGCATTCATATCTACTTGCCAAAGAAACAGTTCGCATATTATCAATGGGTTTTGAAACTTCCCAAGGACATGATGTCTTCCACTTGGGTATTTTACTTAATGAACTACTGACTGGGTTTATTCAAAGAGTCACGTGGATTTTTAATTTTCCCAGGTCAAACGGTTTAAATACCAGGTAATTTCCCTGTGAAGCTATAATTTTAAATGCCACTTCTTGCTAATATATTTCCAATTTAATGGTAAGTCACATTTTAGAATGTAGTAAAACATTTTTACAAAAGTATTGAGTCAGATAATGCAAGAAAAATGATTTAGCACAGTGGTTGGTACCCAGCAAGTGCTCAATGAATGTTAGCTTATGACAACTTTGGGAATAATGATGTTGCCAACAATGACAATAATAATACTCAAACAACTATACTCACCTTATGGTAGGCTGCTACGAAGGCTGCCCCCAATGATCTCCACTTTCTGTAATTCACAATCTCACTAAGCCCTTCCCTTGTGCTGAATTCAGCATGTGCTGAATGTAGAGATTCAATTCTAATGAAGATAATATGGCAGAAGTGATGAGATACCACTTCCAAGATTAGGTTATTAAAACACCTTCACTTTTATCTTCAGTGCTTACACTGTTTATCAATCTCTTGGATCTCTTGCTGATATGGTTTGGCTCTGAGTTGTAATTCCCAATGTTGCAGGAGAGGCCTGGTGGGAGGTGACTGGATCATCGGGGTGGATTTCCCCCTTGCTGTTCTCATGATAGTGACTGAGTTCTCACAAGAACTGATGGTTTAAAGGTGTATGGCACCTCCCCCTTCACCCTCTCTCTCCTGCTCCACCAGAGTAAGACATGCTTGCTTCCCCTTTGCCCTCTGCCATCATTGTAAGTTTCCTGAGGCCTCCCAGCCATGCTTCCTATATAGCCTGTGGAATTGTGAGTCAACTAAGCCTATTTTCTATATAAACCAGCCAGTCTCAGGTAGTTCTTTCTAGCAATGTGAGAACAGACTAATACACTTGCCCTGGGGGTAACCAGTTATGATATCGTGACGTATTCCTGTGGCAGGCCCCAGATGAGTGTGATTGGAAATGGATTTTCTAAGGCCTATCAACAACCACCTGAGTGAATTTTGAAGTAGATCCTTTAATCCCAATCAAGTTTTAAAATGACTAAACACTGATCAGCAGCTTGACTGCAACCTTGTGAGTGACCATGGCAGAGTCACCCAGTTAAGCCCAGATTCCTTTCCCACAGAAGTTGTGAGATAATGTTCATTGTTCTACAACAGTTAAGTTTTGAGATAATTTGCTATGCAACAAGATAACTAATATAGATTTTGAAATGGGGTGCTGTCATAAAAATCTAAAGGTGGAAGTAGCTTTGGAACTGTGTAGTGGACCTTAAGAAAAGTGTTAGTGAGAATGTGCCTCGAACACACTCTACATAGAATTTTGGAATTTAAGAAGGCTGATGGAAGGGCTTAAATGAAAGTGAGAAAATGTTTATGGAAACTAAAAATTATGTAGTGGCTAAAGTTTAGCAATAACCACACTTAGGTGTAGTTAATGTGACCAGCAGTCACTTATAGTTACATGGAAATTAAAAAAAAAAAAATGTGCCAGATGAACTGACTTATCCAGTTAAGGACATTTACCAGCAAAGTGCTGAAGATGTCACCTGGTTTCTTCTTACTGTCTTATGGTAAACTATGAGAAGAAAGAGATACATTGGGGGAAGTACTGCTAAACAAAAAGGAGGCAGGACTTGATAGTTACGAAAATTCTTAGCTTCTCTAGACAGCAAATAATGTTGAAATTAAGAAACAGCTTTTAAGATAAGATCAATTCCAGGACACTATCAGAAAAACATGGTCTAAAGACAAAAGCGGAGGGTGTCTTATAAAATCGGTTTGTTAAAATCTTGGAATGATCAAAAGTGATATCTCAGAGTACTATTTCATCAGATGACAGAACCTCCTAAGGGTTCCTCAGAGCCTCATAATGAGCCTTTGGGAAATTTAAGGGCATGCATTGTCTCTCCCCGATCTTGGCACAAGCCCAAAGTAGAGAAGACTTATCTCCAAGAGATATATGAATGTGGCTTTTGGCTAATGGAGAAAATTCAAAGAAGTTTCACAGGAGACCCACAAACTTTTTGAGAAGATTGTATCAGCAGAACCACTGCCTATTTGGACCAAAAGGGGTAGAAGCAGTACTAAATTTAAAAAGGCCACGGGTCCTTAAAATTCTACCGGTAGGAAGCAGGCTGAGAAAACCACTCAGCTGCAAACATATGCCACCTTTCACGAAAAAGGAAAGATGACTCAGAGTGGAACCAAGAAACCAAATGGTACAGTCAAGAGCCCTGGAGAACTATTCCCAGGCTTTGAGACCTACTACAGGAGCACTTGCCTCAACAGACTTCAAATTCCTATTGACAGGTGACTCCTATTTTTCTCACATTTCTGCCTTTTTTTTAAACAGGAATATCTAGGTATTTTATGCCTGTCCTACCACCATATGTTGGCTGTGTTGAGGGCAGGTAATTTGACTCTGGTTTCACAGATCTACAGATAAAGAGGAAGCATACTTGAAGAATTATAGTTAAAGATTGTATGGATACCTAAGGGGCCTCACCCACACCTGGATCAAATTTGGATGGCATCTAGATTTTGAGGTGATGACCGCCTATACAGTAAAAAAAATTATTTTTCATATTTTAATAAAAGTGATGTTTGACATCAATACAATTTAACTTGTTTTATAGCATCCAAACCTCTAAATAAAATATAAAATAATTTAAAACATTTTCTGTCTGTTAAAAGATTGAGCTACTAATGCAGAAGGGCAAGCATCATAGATTTCTAATATTAATATTATTTATTAATAAATCTCACTAATATAAAACTTGATAAACTTCTCTAAACCAAATTAATCAATTATCAACTGCCAAATTTTAATCTGTTTATAATATTTATTTGACAGCATCATAGCTATTATCAAGAGAACACATAAGCAATGTCAAAGCTGTCCTAAATATCTTGATTTGCAGATTATTTTTTCTGTTTGTAACAAAGATTCCAATTAAAGGAGGCATTTTAAATGAGATGTGAACTGGAAAATGAAATGTCTGACTCTCCTAAAATGATTATAATTTTTTTAACTTCATGCACTCCCAAAGAAAAGCAAATAATATCATTTCAATGTTCTATAATGCCTATCCTTCAGAATGACAGCACATCTTAATTTTCTATTCACTATCATATTGTGACATTTTATGTATGAAAAATAGTTAAAGCAGTATTTTTTAAAATGTCATACGGCTATAGAGAGCAATTTATTTCATGCCCATGTCCCTCCGGGCTATGAGCCTATTTAGTAAAGCTTATCAGTGAAGGACAATGACTGACATGTCTTCTGCATATGCACTCATGGGCCAATAAAAACAAAGAACACAAATATACCATTCAGAAATACACAGCACTGTTTAAAAATAGCAATGCCCATTTCTTCTCACAGAGAAGAGGGTCCTAGTCTACAGAGACAGCACAGAGCAGTGAAGGGGTATTATCTTGTACTGAGAGTCAGAGTATGTGGGCTCTCAGCTTAGCTTAAGCTACCTGGTAAGTGACTTATCCACCTTAGAATTCAGTTAACTAACTGTAAAATTCAGTGTCTGTATCCAACTTGATCAGTCAATGCATTCCTAAACTTCAGACATGCAGGCACCCCTCAGGCGAGTTCTTACTACACTCATGCAAAACCTGTACAGTTTTTTTGAATCCACCAAATAATCACTTAAATAAGTTTATTTTTCCTTAAAATAAACTTTAAACAGGAAACTTTTACACCACTACTTTATAAATGAAAAATCTGATTTACATAGCATTAATGATTGGTAATAGATTTAATTTTAAAATTAAATACAATAATACAACAAAACAATTATCAAATTCTAGCTATCAAGTTGTTGGCTGCCTAACGTCTATTCTCTTTGGAAAAACAGAGAAGCAACTCTCTAGGAGAGAGATTCTAGCATCAGACTGAGAATTTCTCCATTACTTGTCAGGAAAGCATTGAAAGGAAATAAGTTTTTCATTATATGATTCACTGTCATTTCAGGCAACATCTACATGCCACATAAAATCAACTCTAGTATCAACCAAAATCATCTTTCATACCAGCAGCAAATTTCTTGTACCCTGGAAATGCTGCATCAAATAGTACACCCGTTATTTCTGATTCTAAATTTTATCATGAATCCCCATATGACCCACCTAACCTACTTTCTTAAAACCATTAATACTGTCATGAGAGACACTAAAATAATTTTGAGGGCAATGATGCACTATGGAAAAAGTTACATTAGGTTTCTAAGCTTAGTTTCATCAGGCTAGATCTTGACACTGGCAAGTTAATTAACCTCTCTAAGCCTCAGATTGCTCATTCAGATTAAAGTGCTAGTGTCACAGTTAAATGACATAATGCATGTAATAAGCTTAGCATTGAACCCGAACATGGTAGGTACTCAATAAATGTTATGGATTAAAAATAATTTAATTTTCTCAAATAAGTTTTCAAAATTCTACTAAAATTCACTCCAAAGAACACTGGCTAAAAAGAAAATATAGTTTATCATTTTTCTTTTATAATAAAGCTATATGATATATAACTTTCACTTCAAAATAAAGCTATAAAACCCATAAACCATCTACTGGCAAAAGTAGCAAAACCACTTTGTCCTTAATGATAAAAGAAGAACCATTGGCTGTCAAAATGAAAAACAACAACTCTTAGTTGCTATCATGTAAAGCATTTTCAGGTTTTTTCCACCCCAAGAACGGCTCAAAAGGGTAGAAAAGACAGAGTGAGAATATCTTAATCAAAAAGTTTCAGCCAAGTAGGGCACATAGTGAAAGGAGCCACTTTTAGGCCAGCACTAATAACACTCTTACCTACTAGATGTAGTAAAGGCTGGGCAAAATAAAAAGAAGCCCAATGTTAATTCAACAACAGTAGTTCTGGTCACCTAATAAATGGTAGTAGTAATATTCTCCAGGACTCATACTCGTCACTTCAGATGCACTATTTCTAATCCATACAAGTTTGCAAGTTAGACATTGCTAACCCAAATTAAAACACGAAGAGGCTGAAGTTCAGAGAGGTTATTTGCCTGCTCAAGGTCACCCTGCTGGTAAATGCCTGAGTTGCACTGAAACCACATCTGATGCCCCAACCAGCTCTCCAGTCACCATTTCCTGCTGCTTTTCTTTTAGGACATAAAGATGTGAACAAAACTCTTCCTCAGTACTTTGAAAAGTCACCAGGTGATATGTGTCCCCTTTTCTTTCCCTGCCCTCTTCTGGTTTCTCTCCAATCCTTTGCTTTTTGATTCACACCATATTTAGTCAGTATTCATTTCCCCAACTCCAATTCACTTATTCCTTCAGCCACAGTAATGTGGTATTGTACCCCAGCCCTTTTGGAAACTGTCCTTCCTAAGAAAAGAAAGAATAAAAAGAAATCAAGGCAAGGCTTCCAATCTACTTGGAACTTAAACTAAAGGCTCCCAGATAACAAGTAATTCTCTTACACAGCAACCAATTATTTACCTGGACACCAGTACTCTCATTAGAGTTGGCATGTTACATATTAGAGGGATGACTAAGGTGGGCACAACGTGTGAAATCGATTATAGATTATGTGCAAATCATACATATTCAAAAGAATGCTTCACTGAATTAGAGCTTCAAAAGGTATTTGGAAGCTTTTATCTTTTATTCAGGGAAGGAATTTACACACAAATAAAAATTACTGAACTTAAGAGTATTTTTGTTCCATATTCTAAATGGTACAGGATCAAGCAAAAATGATAGTCTCTTCATTTAACTCTAAGTTGTACTTCAGTGAAGATGTCCATTTAATAGACAATGTCTAGTTCATGTTTTAAGTTCTAACGCTGCACTTGAAAATTAGTACACCTACCACACATTGCCCACACTTGTGGTCTAAATTGCTGAGGTCTATGAACCACTCTGTTGTATATGTTTCCTCAATCATCCAAAATGCAAGCTACACCCTTCTAAGCACTGCACATCAGCTAACACTATTGATTCTCAAGATAACCTTTTGTAAGCACTATTATCCTGATTATTACATATGAATAGATTGAGTCACAGAAAGGTTAAAT
The DNA here is from genome assembly GCF_000001405.40 of Homo sapiens. NCBI lineage: Eukaryota > Metazoa > Chordata > Mammalia > Primates > Hominidae > Homo > Homo sapiens. The sequence goes on from NC_000003.12 coordinate 168,089,546, forward strand.
AACTTGCCCATGACCACACAGCTAGCAAAATAAGATAGCAGAAAATCAAATCCAAGTGCTCTGACGCCTCAGCCTGTATCTATTATACCTCACTGCGCACAATACCACCATATATATGCACATTAATAGGCCAAGAAAAAGTACTACATAGGTACTACCAGGCACCAGACGCTGGAGATGAAGGAATAAAAAAAGCCTGGTTCTGTGCTGAAGATGTTTCTCTCTTTTTTTTTTTTTTTTTGAGACAGAGTCTCGCTCTGTTGCCCAGGCTGGAGTGCAGGGGGGTGACTGGGCTCACTGCAACCTCTGTCTCCCAGGTTCAAGCAATTCTCATGCCTCAGCCTCCTGAGTAGCTGGGATTATAAGCATGTGCCACCACACCTGGCTAATTTTTGTATTTTTAGTAGAGATGAGGTTTAGCCATGTTGGCCAGGCTGGTCTCAAACTCCTGATCTCAAGTGATCCACCCGCCTCAGTCTCCCAAAGTGCTGGGATTACAGGCGAGAGACAGGGTGCCTGGCCAATGTTTCCTTTCTAAAAGTAGATTTAGGGAAGGTTGAAAGCAAAGAAGTAACCAATGACAAGATGTATTCATGCTTAGGCCAGTGGGCCATCCTGAGTGTTAGAGGAGCCCAATGCAAAAAACACTTAAATAACAAATGTCTGCACACCGAAAGAAACAACACAGTAAACAGCCTACAAAATAGGAAAAAATATCTGCAAAGTATGCACCTGATAAAGGGCTAATATCCAGAAGCTACAAGGAACTCAAGCAGCTTGACAAGAAAAAAAAAAATTAAAAACTGAGCAGAGGACATGAAAAGACATTTTTAACAGGAAGCTAGACAAGAAGACAACACACATAGGAAAAAATGCTCAACATCACTAAGCATGAGAGAAATGCAAGTTAAAATCACAGTGAGATACCATCTTACACTAGTCAGAACGGCTTTTATTAAAAAGTCAAAAAACAACAAATGTTGGCAAACATGCAAAGAAACGGGAATGCTTATACACTGTTGGTAGGAATGTAAACTAGCACAACCTTTCTGGAAAACAGTATCAGGATTTCTCAAAGAACTAAAAATAGAGCTACCATTCACTCCAGCAATCCCAATACTAGGTATATACCCAAAGGGAAATAAATAATTATACAAAAAAGATACCTGCACTTGTATGTTTATTGCAGCACTATTCACAACAGCAAAGATATGGAATCAACCTAAGCGTCCATCAACAGAGAACTGGTAAAGAAAATGTGGTATATATACACCATGGAATACTACTCAGCCGTAACAAGGAATGAAATCATGTCTTTTGCAGCAACATGGATGGACCTGGAGGCCATTATCCTAAGGGAAATAACTCAGAAAAAGAAAAGTCGAAGATAGCATGTTCTCATTTACAAGTGGGAGCTATACAACGGGCACACATGGACATAGAGAGTGGAAGTGGAGACTACAAAAGGTGGGAGGCTAGCAGGGGGTGAGAGTTGGAAATTTTCCTGTGGGGTAAACATGTCCATTCTTTGGGTGCACTGAAAGCCCAGACTTCACCACAACTCAATATATGCATGTGAGAAATCCACACTTGTAACTCTGCACTTCTACACGTCACATTTGTGACCTTTTTTTAAAATTTTAAATAGTTGTAACATATTCATCTGGAATAGGAACATATAAACCTTACATAAACTTTTTCTGGATGGTTTCTCCTTATCCCTGGAAGTCCAAAAGCATTGCAATACTGTGTTTTAGGAATGTCAGGCTCTTTGCCTCTACACTAAATGCCTTTTATAAAAATTTAAATAGTTATATCTCTCTCCCAGATCTCACAGCACATAATTATTACCTTAGCAGTCACACCCTCTCCTAATCTGATATGATCCAGAACAGAGTTAATCAGTAACCGCAGTCCAAGTTTAAATTGTCAAGGAAGGTCCTTTCTTCTGATTAAAGTACACTGGATGTTTGCATATTCCTTGATGTTCATTTAAGGTACAATAAAAGGAGGTGGTTAGCTACATAAACAAATTCTGCCAATTTCAAAATTTGAAATTACCCATGACAAACCTGGCAAGAGTAAAAGGGATAAAGCAGCTTACCTCAAAGAGGGATTCTGATAACAGCTAACTTTTAACGAGCAGTACCTACTATATGCCAAGTATGTGCTAAGAGCTCTACAGTCTATCATCTTCATTAATCCTCACAATACCTCTATAAAATAGGTTATTCTAATCTCCACTTTATAAATAAGAAAAACGTCAAGGTTCACACAAAAGGTTGTAGAACTAGAACTGAATTACAGTCTAGAAACCAGTCTGCTTTTAATCACATACTCAGATAAAAAATTCAAGTGTCTCTGGGGCCAAACAAGTAAAGTAAATGCACGGAAAGGCTCAGTTTTAAGATTTTTTATAGAGGTGTGGCTCTCAACCTTGGCTGCACACAGGAATCACCAGGGGAGCTTTAAAGACTTTTGAAGCCTGGGTTCCACCCCCCATAGACTGTTATTTAATTGGTCTGGGAGCCACCAGGTGATACTAATGGGCAGTCTAGACTGAGAAACACTGCCTATAGATACAGACAATGGAGCATGGCTCACTTGAAAGCAGTTTAAAAACTTTAAAGGTTATATAAACACTGTGCTGGCCAAAGATTGTTATTACCTTTGCCACCAGTATGTGACCTCTGTCCCACTCCTCAGTATAATTAAGGTGCCAGTATGGGAGATAAATAGATGACTGATTGCTAAGAGGGATAGATAAACAGGCAGACATAGATATTTTTATAGTGGAAGGGGTTTGCCTAGTCTCTGACCTTTCTGCATGCCATCCCCACCATCTTCTAGTTATGGGGCTCTTCTACAATAAAACTTGTTAACTTGGGGTTACAAGTAACCCACTTTCAAAGGAATCTATGGAGTATAATCTATTCTTAAACTGAAGGTGACCTAAATACGCTCACTTAACGAACGCACATCATCAGATTATAGGTCTAAACTACTGAAATTTTTTCAAGAGTCATTTTTAAAAAGACCACTCTTTTTAAAGTCATTAATTCTGATCTTAATCCAAGCCAGGTCAAGCAATCCCACCTAACTAAACAAGTATTAAGACTGGAGAGCCTGATGTCCTAAAAGCCCATCTATGCAGGTGGTACACAGTGCTGTTGAGTAAAATGTCATTTGTCTTGGAAAAGGGAAGCAAAAGTTGCATACCACCAGAAAATGTACATTAAATGGCTTACACATGGGAAATCCAAAATAAATGCTACTGAAGTCAAAAGTGAATCCACAAAAAACAAAAACAAACAAAAAAATACTTTAGCCTGCTTGTGAAATAATTATTCATGCACAATTATACTGCAAGTTTTGTAGCACCATAATTAGAGAGGAAATGACAAAAGAATAAATTAAGAAAGGGACTTTGAAGCCACTTATTCAAATTAGGTAGAACATTTCCATCTGCTGCAAAACAAAAGTTGTATATTTTAATGATCCTGTATTACCATTTACCACCTCTCTTCCCCACTACCACCACCACCACTAAAAAAAGAAAAGGCAAATTAGAAAAGAAATTTCTAAAATTTCAAAATGAAATACTGCAAATAAAGGCCATTATTCAGAAATTAGGGCCTCAGTCAACAATATCCATCGTCCATCATAGGCCGTTGAGGCAAAGGAGCTACTTGAACAAAATATTTTCTTGTTTTATTTGGCTTTCAAAAAGCAAAGACACAGAAGCAAAGTCTCAGAAAGACAAAAGTGCCTGGGATGAACTTACTCGCCACAGTTCAGAATAATTTTTGTTTGTTGTTTGAATAAACATGCATTGATTCCCCTAATGAGTGTCAGGCACAGTGTGGTGCTGAGGAGGTAATGGTGAAAATGACAGCCTTTGCCCTCATGGGACTCCTAAGAGACCAAGGCACACACAACCTCATATAATCCACCATACATGCCCCTTCCAGCCATGTTTATGAAAATCTAGTCCTGTTATACTATTAGACGGTAAATTTTTCCCTTGGTCTGACTCCATGGAACTTCACAGGGAAGCAACTGATACCTTGTAAATAAATAAGTAAACAAATATCCATATTCTCATACCAACAATAACTCATGGGTAAATTTCAATGAGTTTAAAGAAAATTTTGTGAACCTAAGAGCGTATCAAAACGGGTTTTACTTTTGAACCAAGCCGAGCCATATATTTTCATTGCCTGTGGCTATGCAGCGTCAGTAAGCTAAAAATACTTTTCTTTCTTCTAAGTTGGGAAGAGCAAGTTAAGTCCAAACAATCGGATGTGTATCATTTTCTCTCATCTTAAATTTTTTACTAGAAAACACTCAAAATAACTGAAGCAAAGAAGAGGCATCTGTTTCATATCTGCACACACATACACAGAAACATCCCTCTAGCTTGCATCTATCTACCTAGCAATATTAAACAAGCTATATTTGCATCATCAGCAAAGTCTGCCAACATTTCACCACTTACAGCTATTTATTATTATTTTTTGGTTGGGGAGAAAGCTGCATAAGTATTGAAAACTAACCACAAGTAAAAGCTTGCAAAAAAAATATGTATAGGATACGTCCTTAACAAGAGGACATGGTGCTGACTTTGAATTTACGTTAAAAGTAAATTCAAATTCAAATTCTGAATTTACATTTAAAGTAAATTATGTTTGTGAAAATTACATTAAATTAGATTCTAAAATAGGATAGAAACTTTAAGTTCTTCTACAGGTCTTGCTCAAGTTGGGTTTGCTGTGCATGGCAAAGTGAAAACCTGTGTTTCTCCTCTTTGGCTTCCCGAAGCTAACTGTAACATACATGCATCTCTGTGATGAAGTAAAAGCTACTTAGGAAGACAAGTAAACCTGTTTTTAAAGAAATAAACTACTGCAGGATGGTGAATGGTATGTAGTGTGGACTTTTCCCACACATCCAGCATCTCTAAAGACATCCTATTAAATTAAAAGAATAAGAAATAAGAAACTAGCAGGTCCAGATCTAGGTTCCTTCCATTCGACTGGGCCATGACTTTAATTAAGCTGCTGGGTCATGGCTTAATTTTCCCTTGAAAAACAGCACAGTTTGAGAAATCTCTGCCAAACTCTTCATTTTTTAAGCAACTGACAAAGTCAACAAGAAAGCAAATACCTAGAATCCACGGAACAATGCTCCTCAGAGCAGGGCTGGCAGAAGCGGCGGAGGGCTACCAGTTTCCCTGCCCCGATTGCAGCTGGGCCTTTGACAAGAGCTCGGGTAAAGGACTATCTGTGCACCCGCCCACCAAACGCCCAGCGGGACGATGGGCTGGTGCTACGAAGTTCTAAACCTAACCGCTGGGAGGAAGAAGCGGGAGGATGAGAATGTCATCTCCCCTGACACTCTGGTGCCGGCAGTCCTGAAACGCTCACCTCTGACGTCCCTGAAGGTCAGAGGTGGCAACCACAGTGCCAATAGCTCACCAAAGCCACTTTTCCTGCCCGGGTGGAGGCGCGGGGCAAAGTTGGCCACCGGCTGCGCGCGTCCCGTTAGCCGTACCTTGTAACTGGGCGGAGAGGGACTCCTGGTGCTGCTGGTACTTGAGCGCCACCGCCTCGGCTTTCCGCAGCTGCGTCTGCAGCTCGTAGTAGAGCATCGCGCCGTAGAGAAAGCCGAACACGACGGTCAGCAGCAGCAGCGTCTGGAAAATCCGCTTCTGCTTTCGGGAGCACATCCCGTTTCCCATAGTCCCGCCTGGACCCAAAGCCGCGGCCGCCCCCGCCGTCTCCTCCCCTTGGTCCGAGCGAGCGTCTCAGCAGCGGCCGCCGCAGTAGGTGGCCAGACGCAGCATGAGGAGGAGATGCCAGACACAAAAGCCGGCCCGGAGGGGAAGTGGCGCCCGCTCAGCCCCCGCGCGGCGCGGGGCGCGCAGCCATCGACGCCGCCCGGGCAGCTGCAGCCAAACTTCTGCGAGGCTCGTTCTCCGCGAATGCCCGGGGCCGGGAGGAGGCCCTCCGCATACTTCAGAGCCGGCTGCCCTCGCGCCTGTCCCCAGATGCCTCCTGCCTTTTTTCCTTCTTCCCACTTTTTGGCCCCGCTGCCCCCGGGCAGTTCTTGGAGTCCCGCCCTGGCCACTCCCCGCCCTATCGCGGCGGCTCCCACTGCACGACTTTGTTGCCACCTAAGGGAGGGGGTGCGCGCCCAACAAAGGGACCAGGACTCCGGGCCGCGCCCCCGTGCGGCCTGCCCAATGGGTGGAAGGGTGGGGGCCAGCTGTCTCGGCTGGTTTTGGGGACGGCACAGCGGTGTCACTGACGGGTCGGCTGGTGCCTCTGCCGCCCCGCCACCTCCTGCCCAACTTACGTGTCACCCACGGCCCGGCTATTCTGGCCAACGGGATTCCGGGAGGAAGTCCCACTCGGCCTCCTTGCTCATTGGGCCCGTCCGAGCAGACGCTCCCTCCCTTCGGGGAGGCAGTGCCGGGCTCGATTGGATGCCGGCTTTGTCCGTCCGACCCCAGGGCCGCACCTTCCCTCCCAGTGCCGGGGCCGGCTAGGGGCTCTGTGGGCAGCGCGGCCGCCTGGCGCCGGGGTGCGCCCACGTGGAGTCGGAGAGGGTGGGAAGAGGCAGGCGGAAGGGCGAAGGGCGGGGAGCTTTGGGTGGGCGGGGGACTTGTCCGGGCCTGAGTCTGGGTGAGGTTCGGTGAACACGTGTGTGTGTGTGTGTGTGTGTGTGTGTGTGTTCCAGTTCTCGTTCGGAACGCACGTGGAGAGCGGAGTAAAATGTGTGTATGAACGAAAGAATGGATGGCAGTAACTGTGTGCACTCTGCTGAGTACACTTTCTTTCCCTGTCCAATAAACTGATGCGGCAGACACATGGGATAGCTACATAGCACAATCCCGGTAGTCAAACCAGAGATGCCATGTCGACTGCCTTACCCCATCCAGTGTACTAGCCTAGATGTGTGTGTGCCCACAGATGGCCCGGCAGGAGTCGGGAGACTGGAAGCACGCTAGACTTAATGTTCAATTGTCCACGTGGGCTGGGGAAATCGGCTTGCCATTGGCAGAGAGGAAAGAAATGGTCTCACATTTCTCCTCTAGCTGCAAATAGAATAATTTAAAAACAAATCGTACAGACTGAAATGAGTATCCATTCATTTTGTCATATGTATTTGTTTTATTGGTGGCAAAACACATCAGTTACATTTCTAAATTACATTTTAAAGGGCAACAAAGGTTCCCTATGTAAAAACTAGTACAGCACAGGAAAGGTAGTAACCACAAACCTCTTCGAAGAAATGTATACTGCATTTATTTTTTCTGTGTACTTGAGGGGAATAATTAAGGTTATGCACAAATGATAATTTTTGTTTCTGCTGTTGACCTGAATTCTAAGAAAAGTAAATTTTATCTGTCTGTATAGTGTGGTGTAATTTATGATACACTGCATAATTTTTATATTCTAACTGGACTTTAGTCGTTACCATTGCTAATGGGCCTGAGTGCTCAAAATGGGGGTAAATCTCTTTAGCTAAATGCAACAGAAAGACAGTTCCTGGTGCAAAAGTTTTTTTAGGTGGACTCTGAAATTATAGGTTGCTAAAGCCCTAAAATAAACTGAATTTATAACGATGCTACCCTGTGGCATTTATACCACTGTAAAAATAAAGTGTGTCTTGCATGTGCTTTTCCTTAATAAATAATAACTTGCGTTAAATTATTCAAAATGCTTTCGTGTGCAGATACACTGTCTCACTGATCACAGCCAGGGTGTTAGACTTTCATGTTGGTAAAGAAGCCAAAGTTTATCAAAGTGACTATGACAGCTCTAGGACCTTTTAGGTCTTGCATAAAGTTAGTTACTCAGCAAGATTAGAATCCAGATCCAAACCCTGCTCTATGTCTTTTTCTTCAATAGAAACAATGTTCTCATTCTATTAAACAAGTTACAGTAAGAAATTATATCTCCATTAACATGAGAATCTGATTGTAAAAGAAAACAGTCTAAAGGAGTTTGGGAGTTTTGTTGTGTAAATACTACATAATCTTCCTTATTATTAAATCTACCACTTTAAATTCCTCTTTTTTAGTTTGACTCTCAGAAATTAACATTGGATAATTACTGGAATCTCTTTAAAATTCCTCATAACTAAACATTCCTTACTGTTGTCAGAGTACTTTGTTAAACAAACTCTTCCTCCAAAAACACTATCCAAATTTAGGCTGGGCATGGTGGCTCACTCCTGTAATCCCAGCACTTCTGGGAGGTTAATGCGAACAGATCGCTTAAGTTTGGGAGTATGAGACCAGCCTGGGCAACATAGCAAAACCCCTCCTCTACAAAAAAAAAAATATATAAAAATTTAGCTGGGCATGGTGGCGTGCACCTATAGTCCCAGCTACTCGGGAAACTGAGTTGGGAGGATCCCTTGAGCCTGGTAGGTAGAGGTTGCAGTGAGCCAAGATCACACCACTGCACTCCAGCCTGGGCGACAGAGGTGAGACTCTGTCTCAAAATAAATAAATATATAAATAAATAAAGTTTATGGCAATAATCTTGCCCCATATTTGAAGAGAAAATTATCCTAGCCACAAAAGAAAAAGAAGTTGTATAGAGGGTTGGAAAATTATTGCTCATATATTGTACAATATGTATTTTAGAATCTTTGGAAAATTCTTATGTTTCCTGAATGTATGATTCATCTTAAACCTCTGATTCCTTTGCATCTGATTCCAGACTCCAAAGATATTCTTTGCCTAAAGCTGCTGGCTGACTCTACAGAACATAATAAATGCAGGCCATAAAACACAACTCAATATTTTAGTCATAAAATTTGAAAGACAGCAAAAATTATTACCTGAACTTATCCATTATTTCAAATTCAAGAAGGGTATGTAGAAGTACATAAAATTACTAATGGTGGTATTTTTATAATATTACATTTCCAAGGTAAAGTATGCTGCTAGTTTCCTGAAAATGTCAGTATAGAGCTTTTGAGCGGCCAACATGAGGAAGCTATCCAAGGCCTATAAAATGAATTTACATAACATTGCCTTTGGGTAGCAATTATAACATAACAGCTGTTTATACTGGTCTTGGAAGGTGTGTTGTTCATTCTATTTTATTTTTGCTTCTTTGTTATTTTAAAAATAGTATATATAATTATATTTCTATATTCCATATATTTAACAATATATTTAACTTTAAATTATAAACCCTGAAGAATTTTACTGATTTAGTATTTTATTTCTGAGGCAGGAAGAAATTAACTTAAAGATACTCAAGGTCTTACATTTGAGAAGGGCAAATATAACATTTGGGAATATTAATTCTCTCTAACTTAAGTGAATTTGTCATTTTAATCAAATTTGTTCATTTTCAAAATAAGGGAAGGAAAAAATAAAAAGTTGAGAGAGACAGCTGACGTATAATTTCTAAAAGTAAGATTTTAAATTAATAATATTTAGGATCCTAGAGTAAATAATTTCTATTATCTAAATCTTTTATTTAAATTTCTTTACTACAAATGGAACTCAATATTTTGTAATTTGTAGGAGAAATCATCACCTAAGAAAAGGTGATGAATAGTAAATAAAATTTAAAATAGCTTTTCAGTATTAATAAACTAATTTTAATCTTTTCATCTGACAATTACAAAAGTTATTTATCCTATAAAACAATCTTCACTCTATGATGTCTTCACCTTTTTGCCATTTCATCAGTTTGCTGTCCCCTAATGAATACACTTGCCTTGCTGATTGCCACTTTTACCTGACCTGTTTTGAGAGGTAAAGAAAGCTGCATTCAAGGTATTATGTCTTTTTGAACATTTTGTGAAAGATGTTTTGAGACTCCTTTTTCATAGGATTTTGATAATGACCTAGTAGTAATTGTTAGAAGATTAACAAACTAAAAAGTAGGTCTGTGGTTGAATGCATAACTGAGTAACTGAACCCCACTCAATGTATC